>NC_000011.10:58161437-58464467 GCF_000001405.40 Homo sapiens
GGGATTTCCAGTGGGAAATCTTCAGCCCAGCTGTAATCGTGGCTTGGCTTCTGGATACACATATCCTTATAATAAATTTCCTTTTGTTTTTGTTTTGCTCAGGCTTATTCTGTTTTTTTTTTTTTAGACAGAGCCTTACTCTGTCACCCAGGCTGGAGTGCAATGGCACTGTCTAGGCTCACTGCAACCTCTGCCTTCTGGGCTTAAGCGATTCTCCTGCATCAGCCTCCCAAGTAGCTAGGAGTACAGGTGCCTGGCTAATTTTTGTATTTTTAGTAGAGATGGGGTTTCGCTCTGTTAGCCAGGCTGGTCTCGAACTCCCGGCCTCAGGTGATCCTCCCACCTGGGTCTCCCAAAGTGCTGGGATTACAGGCGTGAGCCACCGCACCCGGCCCTCTGGTTGATTTTTGTTACTTGAAACTAGAGAGTCCAAACTGTTATATCCAATTAATCAGAACCTCCTTGTTTCTCCAGAAAGCAACAGCAAGCTCAAGGTTCCTCAAAATAGCATTGCTCAGAGCTTTCCTCGCCTCCTTAAAGCATGTATAGAGCTCCACGTAGGTGCTAATTGGCAACTGGATACTGATCACACTGACTTGGTTAAGGTGGCTAAATAGCTTACTCATGCCATTCCTGTGTGGAACCTTTTGATTTATATTTTAGAGAAACAAGAAAACAAAGGAGTTCTTGAAGAAGGTTCCTAACAGTTACACTCACCTTCTTTGTAACTGTGTAACATGCTAACATACCATTATTGTCATTCATTACGAGTAACAAGAAGTCATTATAAGTAAAAATGTCCTAACTTCTCTGAGAAAATCACCTTTCATCTTTTGGAAATGTTACGTTTTGTTTGAATGTATTATCTGTAATCATACATGGAAGGAGACTCGCTCTAATAATGGGTTTTCACAGTGTTGAAACTCAGGCTTTCTAACTTGCAACAGTAGCAAGGTTGTGGTTAATGAATCCATGCTGCTAAAATTGTTTCAGAGCGAGGAATAGGAGGGAGCCTTGTATTGGTGAAGCTGTCTATGCCACGCTATGGTAGTTGGAAGAAAACCTTTCTGGGTCTTTGGAAAAGGTAGGGCACTAAGGGAAGGGTGATTTTATTTTCTGACGCTGTAAAGAGCAGCAAAGGCAGAGGAGTGAGAACAATGTTCACTACAGTACCAGCTGGTAATACTAAGAAGGTTATTTAATACCTTCTTTCTGAAAAAATGTGACATAAGAAAAATGAAATAATAATTCATATATTTTGAGTGCTTCCTATATGCCAGGTGAGAGACTAATGACATCTCTGTAAAGTTGGTGGGTGTCAGGTGAGTGACCTTGGGTAACCTTCATCCCTCCTACCCCATGTCTTTGTTACTGTTTCAGCAGAATGGGGAGAATCACATATTCTCGGATCTTCGCAGAGCTCTTCTGAGGACAAAATGGAAGGGACATTGTTCTGAAAGGTCAAAGGTATCCTGTAAATATAAGAGCTTAGCAAGTTTTCTTTCTTTGTCTCTTTCTCTAGTAAGAAAGATGGGGTGGAAAGAAAGTGAGAGAGAAGCTTTGTTTGGAATTTACAGAGGGGTGAATCAGATAGGCAATAAATACAATAAGTACATCATATGTTATGTTAGAAGGTGACAATTCCTATGGTGAAAATGAAGCCAGGGTCAGAAGAATAGGGAATGTGCAATTTTAAGTATCTTGCTCAAATTTTAATTTTAAGGTTCAGCTCAAATGCCACTTCCTTGGAAATCATCTCCCCTGAATTTTATCCTGGTATGGGAATGATTGATTACATATATGGCTTACCTCTAACAGTAAAGTATAAAATTTTTGAAGGCAGGAAATATGTGTGTGTATCTGTGTGTGTATAAATTTCAGCCCTGGTCTCTAGACCACCTTTCTTAATCAAAAATGAGAAATGATTGAATGTGCAGATGGTCCCCACCTGTCCCCTTCCTGGCTCCACCTTTGTCAAAGGAGTTTCCTCCTGACCTTGCTCTCTTCCTTTTTCTTGTCTGGACATTTTGAGACTCATAAAAAATGCATGTGCAGATGCTAAGAATAATTACCACAATTTCTCAGCTGCAGAGAGCTGGTAAAGGTCATGCCAACTTGCTGTCTGTGCCAGTTGCTTCTCTGGGCAGTGCACTTGTCCTAGTTATTTTTCCCTAAGGTTTTCTTTGTGTTAAAGATTAAAGGACAAACTTGATGAAGTGCCTGATTCCAGGGAGGGCAAACTAGAGGCTACAATGGGCCTTGCCTTTTCCTAGGTGGATCAGTTTCCATTCTACCTATTCTAGGTAAATAGCTGGGCAGGGGGCCGTTCTCCCAGGACACAGCTGGCGAGGGTGGCAGAGCCTGTGATTCATGACATTATTCTGACTGAGGAAACTGGACCTTGGAAGATAAATGATTCCTCATGGGACAAGTCAGAACTAGAATTCAGGCTCCCTTAACCATTCTTAGCGATGGCCCAACTGGGTGTACAGCTTTTAGAAATGGAGATTGAAGAGAAACCTTCTCTTTTCCTACATGAAAGGGGCTATTTGCATATAAATAATCCCAATATCAGCAGTAATCTCTCCTTGGAGACCCACACTGGCCACGGATTGGCTATGACAGTGTTGGGGCAAAACAAACTAGTAGAGTCTTACGCTGGAGCCGGAGCCTGCAGACAGAGGATATTCCCCCACCTTGTCTCGGCTTGCAGGGGTTGGGGGGATGCGCATGTAGGGATTTATGGGAAGGGAAAGAGGAGGAGAAGAGAATGATAAAATTAAATCCTTCCACGTTCCTGTCTTTAGGTGGCCAAATTATGATTATTTCATATTGCTTTGAGGAGTTAATAAGAAAAACGGATGATGATATGGAAGGCCAGAGTGATAAGAGACTTACCTGGGACCACATAGCTAGTCAAGGATGGTGGTGGGGATGGGGCAGGCGGTGGGAATGAAGAACCACGTGTCTGGTTGCCCATGCGGTGCTCTTTTTCTATATCCTCACCTTAAGATTACAATCAGTGAAAGAGCAGGGGTCATGAGCAGACAGAGAACAATGAACAAGGAGGTAAAGAGATTCTTCAGGGAAAGGTGAGATGGGTTTCAGGTGAGGAAACTGATCAGGTTCACCTGGTCCACACCCATCCCAATGCTGCCAAAGCAAACCTTCTTTACTTGTCATGTGCACAGTGACTGTTTCACATTGACCTTGCTGCCCAGGTGCTTTCAGCAATATCAAACATTCTCTCGGTAGTCCAACACTAGAATTTTGCCATGGCTGCTCTTAATTAATGAGCAAAAAATTCTTGCATCGTCACTTGTCAAATTGAATTATAAAATAGTTCCTTGGTCGCATGCTTGTTTTTTCTGCTAGACTCTGAACTCCTTACTGTCCTTTGAACACACCAGGCATGGTCTCGCCTCAGAGCCCTTGCATTTGCTGTTCCCTCTGCTAGCATGCTATCCCTCCAGATGTCTGTATAACTTGCTCTCTTCTCTCTTGATTCCTTCAAATCTTTGCTCACTTATTACCTTTTAATGAGGCTTTCTCTGATAACCCTATTGAAAATAGCAACCTCCTTAACTTTCTTTTCTGCTGTATTTTTCTGCATAGCACACCACTATCTGATATAATATATGTTTTCCTTTTGTGTTATTTTCTGTCACTCCACAAGAATGCAAGCTCATAGGAGCAGGGTTCTCCCCTGTGCCCCCATGCCTAAAGCAGTCCCTGGAAGATAATAAGTGCCCAGTGAATATTTGTGGACTAAATGACAAGTGAGTGAATGTACTCCTGCAGGTTAGACACATACATCATGGTTCCTGGCATCTAACACACGCTTAATGCCTACAGAGTGAAAGATAAATTGTGTTTCTTCCAGAAGTTCTATTTAAAACTGTCCCTGATCATTTAATATTACCTCCTGTGGCTTCATGACTCCTTGATCCCTTTTGTGAAGGGACTGTTTAGGCAACAGTCTCTCCCACATTCAGAGCCCTCTAATAAATTCTGTAGACATTTACTGAGCTGTTCTCTGATTCCCCAAATAGACTAAGTTGGCTAATTGTTTGCTCCTGCAGTACCCTCTCTGCTGTTTTTTGGAAGCGCACAAACCACTTATTGTTACTTGTTTGATGTCTGTTTTCCCCAATGGGCCTTAAAGGTTTCAATAGGGCAGGATCCATGTGAAACTTGCTCCCTGCTGTTTCCTGCACTTCCAGTCCACTATCTGACACTCGTTGGACAGTAAATGAGTATTTATTGACTGAAGGGGCCAGGTATCGTTAGCAGTGCCAAGGAGGGATTAAAATATGTTCTTTGACCCCAGGCACTGGATTGAGTAATACTTTAAAGACATTTCCCGCTCCCAAGTACCTCAGTGAGCATATCTTTTGGGAAATTCCTTCATCTGAGGATTTGACATTTACAAAATTATGTACCTTCAAAAGTTATCAGATTGAACAAAGGAATTCTGCTGTTTATTCAGCACAGGAAAATGATAAACTGCTACCCAGGTTTCTCTACATTTACAAATTTCTTCTCCGATGTCTTTCAGCTTGCAGGAAAGAGGCAGAGACGGTGGGTCACCAAAAAGTCTCCTTGGACTAACCATATAACGATGATAATGATGATTGCTACTAACTTTTTTTATTGCAATAGATGGGATCTGGTTAAATACATTGAGTGCACAGCCTAGGATTCTCACATATTTTTGTTAGCATTTTATCAATTCCCATGATTTATATTTTTAGGTAGTCTCTTTCTTTTAAAGACTTAATTGGGGTTATTACAAAAATAACACATTTTTGTTACAATAAAATGAAAGGATACATGCAAAGTAAAAAAGGGAGAGTGGCTCCTTTCTTTTACCTCTGTTTCCCAATCTTCTCGCCCAGAAGTAACTCCTATTAGTTTCGTATGAAACTTTTTATACTCATCAAACATTTATTTACTTTTTGTATTTCAACAAAAATTGTATCATATTTTATATCATCTTCTGCAACTTGCCATTCTACTTTACAATTACGGATGTCACTGTAACTTGTTAATTGCAAGTATCTCTTCTTATTAAAGGCTGCAGATTATTCACTTATTTCCCTAATTTTTTCCAATAACAAACAATGTTGCAATAGACATCTTTGAATGTGACTGGTTATGTACTCATGCTCAGCCTCCTGATGATAAATGGTTAGAGGTGGAATTGCTCATGGATTTGGGTTAATTTAGTCAAGGTGGAGCCCCATTTCCCACAATTTTATTTTTTGCATAGTTTGGTTCACTGTGGACTGCGGGAAACATTTGGCATGAGATTCAAAAGGAGGAAAGAAATGAAGTCGGAACCATATTCTTTTCATGCTCTGAGGATCAGTGAAGGGGACCAGGAGTAGGGGGTGGGAGGACAGGGAGACTGCTTGATTTCACACATTATTTATTTGTATACATGTATGGCTTACAAGTACAATTTTGTTACATGCATAGATTGTATAGTGGTGAAGTCAGGGCTTTTAGGGTATCCATCACCTGAACAACATACATTGTAGCATTAAGTATTCTCATCATCTACCCGTTTCCCACTCCCTCACCCTTGCAGGTCTCCATTGTCTGTCATTCTACATTCTATGTCCATGTGTACACATTGGCTTCCTTATTACCTTCCACTTATAAGTGAGAATATGCAGTATTTGCAGCAATGTGGATGACACTGGAGGCCATTATCTCAAGTGAAATTAATCAGACACGTAATTAATTTTTAAATATAATATGCCAACTGTTAAAATATTATTTATTAGTTTCTTTACCCCTGAATTTGACACTTCATTTTCATACATTTCTATATTTACTCGAGTTTGTTTTTAGTACTTTTCTGTTACACAAATATATTTTAACTCTAAAGTATTATTTAACTCAATTTCTTTAATTTCTGAAACTTTGGGGTTTATTTTGGTATCTGATAGGGCAAAATATCTCATTATTCTTTTTCAAAAATTTCTTTACTTTTCTTATGTATCTTGGGTTCTAGATAAACTTTTAGATCAGCTTGTCGTGTTTTATCAATATATCAGTCATCTATTGCCATATTAACTTACTGGCTTAAAACAATAAGCATTTATTATTGCTTAATTTTTAGTTGCGTCTATGGGTCAACTGACTATAAAGTGACTAGTGCTTCTGGTTTTAGCTGGGTAGGCTCATGCATCTACGGTCAATTGTGGATCAGGTTGGGGCTTGGCAAGGTTTTCTCACGTATTTGGGGGTTGCCTGGCTGCAGGTAGTCCTTGGCTGAAACAAGTGTGCTTTCCTCTATGTGGTGTCTCATCCTCCAACGGGCTAGCCCAAGCTGTTCCCATGGCAATGGCAAAGGTCCAAGAGTCAAAATAGAAGTAGAAGTGTGCAAGGTCTCTTGAAGCCTAGTTTCAGAAATGGCACACCATCCCTTCAGCTGCATTTTTTTGGATGAAACCATAAAACCAGCAAATATTCAAGGGTGGGGAAATAGACTCTATCTCTTGAAGGGTGGAGCTGCCATCACATTGCAAAAGGCATTCAAAAGGGAGGCTGTTGACTGAATTCATCAATACAATCAACACGGCAACCAAATAACATTGGCAAAAATCTCCTTGAGAGTTTTATTGGACTTGAATTAAAATAATAGATTTCATTCCAAAAACTGACACATGATAAACACTCATCTACCCACCATCCAGATTTGTCAAATCTTAACATTTTGCTTTATGTGTGATTTCAAAAATAACTCAGTAAAGATATTCTTGAAATCCTTTGTGTTCCAGTCTCTGATCCTAGTCCTTTGTCCTCCTGCAGAGCTAACCACTACCCTGAATTTGCTGTTAACATTCCTACACATGCTTTTATGTTTTCACTCCATATTTGTGTCTCCAGAATAACCAACAGTTTATTTGTATTTATTTAAAAACTTGACATCTGTGGTACCATACTGTTCTTATATTCAAATTGCCAGCAATTTGTTCAACATGACGGCTTTGAGATTTACCCATATTGATATACGTAGCTTCAGGTCATATTTAATTTTTTTGTTGATCTGGTATGGGTGAAGCATTCCTTCTCATAATTTAAAATCACCTCTACAAACTGTGTTTTTCTCATTAATCAATTCTAGTGGCATTTATTTGTTGTTTTTTTTTTTCCAATGCCTCTTTTTTTTCCCTTTGGACTGGCAATAGGTTTGTCTATTGTATTGCAAGAATCCACCTCCTGGTTTATCAAATCCAATAAAAAATTTGTCTTATATGTTATTACTTTCTACTAAAAATTTTTAAAATTTATCTTTAGCTTCTTGTGGTTGTGTGTATATTTTATTTATTTTTTTGTAGTCCATATTGTCTAATACATGCATTTCCAGGCCTAGTTGTCCCCCTTAACTGTTGTTGCTAAAATTCACAGGTTTTAATAAGTACATATCAATGTCAATTATTTTTAAATAGTTTGCAATTTCAGGATGAGCCTCACATTATCTCAAGTGTAACTGAGCAGGCCATTTTAATGTGTCAAAATGACTGATACTCTTTTTAGCCTTTATTAATTTCTGTATGCCTTATATTGTGGTCAGACAATGTGTCTTGTATGATTAACACAAACTTGACTGACAGTTGATTGGATATTAAATTCTAAATGCAAAATAATTTTCTCTGATTTTTAAAGACATTTTTCTTTCCTCTGGCTTCCAGTATTCAGTAGAGTGGATGCCAAATTTGATGGCAGTCTTGTTCTCATATAGGTCACTTGCTTTGTTGTTTTTTCCCCCTCTCTAGAAACATGTAATGGATTCTTTTAATCCTTGAGTCCAGAAGTATGTTTTGTTCAGTACTGGTATTAGAATCTTGGTGAGCTCTTTGGATCTGAAGGCTTAAGATTTGTTTTTAAGCTCAAATAAATTTCCTCCTTTTTTCTTTTTAAATATTATCATCCTCTTTTTATATTCTCTTAGAACTTTTATTGAGCAGATATCTATCTTTTGTGCCTCTTAACTTTTTCATGGTTCTCTTTCCCCCTGGTGGCATTTTTTGCTTTAAACTCTGGGAAGCGTAGCAGGTTTATAATTTACAGTTTTAATACAGGTGTGCAACAAAAATAACTTCTTAAAATTTCATTTTAACTGAATTCAATCTTTTCCACTGAAGGTAAAATGAACCTTTTCCAAACCAAAGCAACTCACTTTCAGTTTTGAACATAGTACATTCAGGATTTAAACTGTCAATTCAAAATTTTTTCTCATTATCCCCCTTCTTCTTCTCCTTTTTGTTCCCCTCTTTTTCCAGGATGTGATGTAAATTCTCCAGGGCTTTACATATCATGCTGGCATCAGGACGGGACATTTAGTATAACTAATTTCCCTCTTCTCACTGTTCTCTGTAGAAAGAAAGCTGTTTTTTTTCTTTTTTTTTTCCTTTGGTTCTTATTGCCATTGCTCCTATCTGCTGCTGCCATCCATGATCAAGCCATGGATTCTCTTTTAAGAGACATACAGTCTGCATTCTCTTTTTATGGCCCTCAGACTCCTTTGGTTTTTGAACCCTCTCAGTGACTTTTAATATGGAGGTGTCAGGATTCTGTGAAATTATCTTTGTCCCTCTGCTTAGAAGTCTCCATCAACCATGTTGGTATGTTGCTTTGCTGCCATGGTGGATGCAGAGAATCTCTAGATGGCTTACCATAAATTATCCTAGGAAGTGAGGCATAAGTATCCCTTTTTTCAGATGCTTCTAAAAATGAGACGAGGACTTGTATCATTTACAGACCCCCTCACTCAGGTTTGGGGGGTACTGGGACATTGACTCCTTCTTAAGGATCCAGGCAACATCTACAATCTAACTGCGATATCCTCTGAACTCCTCTCCAGCCTACACATAACATTTTTTTTCAAGGAAGAAAACAACTCTTTATCATAGTGCAGATTTTATGCCCAATGGTATAAACTCTCTGCTTCCTTTCTTTCATGATTGCTATTATATTAAGATTCATTTTCAGGAATTCCAAAGAAATCCTTGTATCCTTCTACGTGGTGTCCCTTGCAATTAAAAGCTTTGCTGTCAAAATGATCATTTCTTTAATGCATTGTGATATGGTTTGACTGTGTCCCCACCCATATCTCATCTTGAATTGTAGCTTCCATAATTCCCATGTGTTATAGGAGGGACCCAGTGGAGATAATGAGTCATGGGGGTGGTTCCCCCATACTGTTCTCTTGGTAATGAATAAGTCTCATGAGATCTGATGGTTTTATAAGGGGAAACTCCTTTTGCTTGGTTCTCATTCTCTCTCTTGTCTGCCACCATGTAAGATGTGCCTTTCACCTTCTGCCATAATTGTGAGGCCTCCCCAGCCACGTGGAACTGTGTGTCCATTAAACTTTTTTTCTTTATAAATTACCCGGTCTTAGGTATGTCTTTATCAGCAGCATGAAAATGGACTAATATACATTAAAAATCTATTTAGAAGTTCAATTAGTTCCTTTATTCCATGATGTATCAAGCCCACACTTAAAGAAAAGCATGTGACAAGTAATCACTGCTTTCTGAATTATGGAGGTCAAACAAGGGCTATAAGGAACATGGAATATTGAGGGGTGGTGGTTTTGGGACTCATTGATGGGAAACTAGCACTTAGAATATTATTTGACTGAAATTGATCTTTGGAAATCCTAGATAGTAATAGATTTTCAGATGTGTCTATGATTATTTTGTGGGACTGTCAACCCTTGCTTTATGACACCATCACAACTCTCAAGATGTCTGGCAGAAGCTGGTGACTGCATATTGTAGAGGGTTTGACAAATGTAATCCAATGTATACACTTCACCTGCTCACTCTCCTTTTGTGCCTTCATCTATAGGTTTCACTCTCTGTGACCTCCATTGCTGCTGACCCTGAATTGGGTGATAGCTTCCTCCAGCAGCTGCTGATTTTTCACTTTGCTCTGTATATGATTCTGACCAGACTAGTTTTGATCCTGTTCTCTGACTTGTTCATCAGCAAGGCCATCTAAACACCTGCAAATCAGGTCTCTAGGCAAAGATTCCTCAACCTTTTTCTACCTTTGCCTCATGCAGAACTGCAGTTCGGTTGATTGTTGAGACTACAGCTTTGATCTATGTGTGCAGCAGTAGGCAAGTCCCTTACAGGGGAGAGGGCCGTGACCATGTTTTAGACTGTAGTGAACACCAGGCTGACCATTCCAATTTTATAGCCTGAGGAAAAAAAGGCAAAGGAGGCCCTGAGGAAAGGTCTTAATAAAGCCAAGTTGTTCTAATTACCTTCATAGCTCTGCAAAACATTCAACAACCTCCTCTGTTGTACTAACCATCTGGGCTCTCATTATCATTTGCAGGTGTTCATGCAAACTAGGCATGGAACCAGGCCCCCAGAGGTAGAGAATTTTCCAGCCAGAAGTTTTCCATAAAGTCCAGCTCTAGGGGAAGCAATGTAAGACAGAGGCTGAATATCAACAAAGAATTTCCATATTTTAATGGGGGAAAATATTGATAAATACTTGAAATTCCCTTATGTAATGACAGCGACAGGGAAGGCTAACATCCTTAGAACATTAACATTGAGCAAAATGGGATGAAAAGCTAATGAGGAGACAATTGCATAACAGATTTATGAGTACTGCCATCCAGACAAAGAATGCTTTGTTGTCTCTGAGGATATTTCCTGTATTTCCTTATATGATTAAAAATGTTATATTTTGTTTGAATGATTTGTAATTTTGTCCTTGAGTGAGAAATTATATGTGAAATGCATGGCATATTCCCTGGCACTCAGTGGGCACAGGGATGTTGGCTATTCCTGTGGTCATCACAATTATTATTAGTGTGTTCTATATTCATTAAAATCTAGACAGAAAGTTTTATAGCAATCTTAAAGTAACGGTTGTTATAAACTCTACGATGTCATTGAATGTGTGTAGATTCAGACCAGGAAGCAGAAGAATGATTAAATTTGGGAACTGTATGGGAAACACCATCCTGATTACTAACTATCAGGGTACATTAGTGAAGAGTGTTTTTATTTCCTCCCTTTATTTACTATTCTCCATGCCTTTTTGAGGTTGGTATTATTATTGCCAATTTGTAGATGAGGAAGTCAAAATACCAAGAGATTTTACATATTTCCCAAGATCCCTGGCTCCAGAAAGTGATGGAGCCAGGACTCAAACGCAGGCAATCTGACCCAGAACTCATACTTGTAAGATTTTTTTTAAAAAAATGTTGTGGGTACATAGTAGGTGTATATATTTATGGGGTACATGAGATATTTTGATACAGCCATGCAATGCATAATAATCACGTCAGGGTAAATGGGGTATCCATCATCTCAGCCATTTATTCTTTGTGTTACAAACAATCAAAGTATACTGTTTTAATTATTTTAAAATGTACAATTAAATTATTAGTGACTGTAGTCACCCTGTTGTGCTATCACATACTAGGTCTATTCATTCTATTATTTTGTACCCATTAACTATCCCTACTTTCCCCATATGCCCCAATACTTTTATCCAAAAATTATAATGATTTCTGTCTAGTAAACTATAAGTGGTAAAAAAAATTACTGGTTGGAAGGGACAAATAAAAAAATAAAAGCTGTTTACATTTAGGATTAAAGTACTCTTGGGTATGAAAAAATCATAATGGTCATGGTATTTTCTTTATTTTATTTTATTTTATTATTATTATACTTTAAGTTCTAGGGTACATGTGCACTATGTGCAGGTTTGTTACATATGTATACATGTGCCATGTTGGTGTACTGCACCCATTAACTCGTCATTTAGCATTAGATATAGCTCCTAATGCTATCCCTCCCCCCTCCCCCCACCCCACAACAGTCCCCAGTGTGTGATGTTCCCCTTCCTGTGTCCATGTGTTCTCGTTGTTCAATTCCCACCTATGAGTGAGAACATGCAGTGTTTGGTTTTTTGTCCTTGTGATAGTTTGCTGAGAATGATGATTTCCAGTTTCATCCATGTCCCTACAAAGGACATGAACTCATCATTTTTTATGGCTGCATAGTATTCCATGGTGTATATGTGCCACATTTTCTTAATCCAGTCTATCATTGTTGGACATTTGGGTTGGTTCCAAGTCTTTGCTATTGTGAATAGTGTCATGGTATTTTCTAAGAGCCACAGGGAACTCTGAGCTGAGAGCTTCTTCCTGGCCCCCTGAACCCCACCCCCTCAGCCAAAGGAGCAGATTCCTAACAAGTCATATTTTCTATCCCAGGTTGGGAGGGCATAGCAACATTTTACCAGGAGGGTTTCAGAATTGCTGTGGACCCACTGTTGCCATGTGCCTGCCGTTCTTCCTGTTTTCTAGTGGGAGCATTTATTGTGGTTATTCTGCCTGTTCACCAATACATTTTGGGTATTTGTGGGCAGACATATGACTTGTCTTTGTAGTTCATAATTCTGTAAACCAAGGGAAGCTGCACCTGGACCTGATGGAGATCATAAGATCCTAGACTTTGATCTTGATGTAATTTGTTGAAGTTTACAGGTCGGGGTTTGGGCAGCTTAGGGTGATGAAGAGTATATTTTGTATGTGATTTGAGAGGGTAGAATAAGAGTATTTATGGACAATAGGAATATTGGATCATTGTTCATAAAATAAACTTCACTCCTCTCCAACTGTGAGTAGGATAAACTCCCCTGCTCAGGGATGTTGAGCTTGACTATGTGGCTTGCTTTGTCTTGTGGGACATGAGTAGACCCGATGCAAGCAAAGACTTAAAATGTGCTTGTGTAATGGGGCTTTGTCTGCTTGTGATTCTGCCATTTTTAGAGGCATATGCCCTGCATAGCTTGCTGACCCAAATATGAAGAGAGACACATGAAACAGATTGTGAATCAAGCTGCAGCTTGGTCAAGTTAGCCGAGCCCAAGCCCAGCCTAAATAAGCTAAATCCTGTCTGGCCACAGACCTATGAGTGTGAGAATAAATGCTCATTGTTGTGTGCTACAACCTGGGGTGCTTATTACAACACAAGAGCTAACTAAGTACCCCATGGTCAAATACTTTTGAGAATTGTTGCATAATATACAGTTCATTTTGGAGATTTATAAAGGATATTATCATACTAAAATCTTCAAAAAATTTTCTAGTAAAGATAGTTGTTTAACTTCATTTAACCCAGCTTCTCAGACTTCTTTTAGCATTGAATCCTTATCTAGTATGTTAGAAGTTAAAAAAAAATAAAGTTTACTGCTGTTTGACTTAATTTTTCTCTATTAGAGAAAATTTTTCCCTTTGTTGAGGAAAGTATCTTAAAGGATATCTTCATAATGAAATTTAAGGACTTTCAGTGCAAGGTCTAAATTGAAACTCTTTAGAGCTTAAAGATTTAAGGCCAGGCGCAGTGGCTCATGCTTGTAATCTCAGAAATTTGGGAGGCTGAGGCAGGCAGATTACTTGAGCCCAGGAGTTCAAGACCAGCCTGGACAACACAGTGAAATCACGACTCTACTAGAAATAAAAACATTAGCTGGGCATGGTGGTGCACCCCTGTAATCCCAGCTACTAGGGTGGCTGAGGCATGAGAATTGCTTGAACCTGGGAGGCAGAGGTTGCAGTGACCTGAAATCACGCGACTGCACTCCAGCCTGGGCGACAGAGTGAGACTCTGTCTCAAAAAAAAAAAAAAAAAAAAAAGGAGATTTAGATTATTACGCACAACAATATATAAAAATTTTTAGCCTCTCAGTGGATTGGGTAGGATAGGGATTTGGAAGATTTTGGAACTGGGAAAAGAGAAATACAAACAAAAGATTTTCTCAGTGGAGAAAGCAGTGGAGTCAGATGGTAGCGGACAGTCTCAAGGTCAGGAGCAATGTCACTCACTGTCCCTGGAGTATCCCTTGGGCTCTCCTGCCCATATATGTGCTGACCCCCTTTCCTAAAGAGTTTTGCCCATCATTCTCCCACTCTCTCTTCTGTCCGAACTGACAAAGTCCACCTCCTCTGCGAAGCCCTCCCCAGTTTACCCTACCTGTAAGTAATCTTGCCCTAGTAACTTACCTGCTTCTTGATTGTTTACTACTATCCCCATAGTAGAGGGAATAGTATTCCCATAATACTACTATTCCCATAGTACTGTACCTACTCCTTGCTTAGGAGTTTAGTACTTGTTATCTTATAGAATGGATAAGAATCTCACCTATTAGGCTGCATGTTCCTCATAGGTAGGCATTGTGGTTTTTTTTTGTTTCATTTCACATCTCTTGCTCTCTTTTAGAACTCTTAGCACAGCGACGAGTCAATGTACCACATGGTTCCATTTTCTCTTGGTTATCATAATTGTCAAAGAGGGCAATTATTCTGTTTTTCCTTATCTTCCTTTTTTTTTTTGAATTGAGACATGTCAAAATTCAATGACTCAACAAAATGCCTATGAATTTGTGGCTAAAACAATACTATTGTGTCAAAGATGTAGAGAGCTGGCAAAAGCTATGCCAATAAGACAAACTTGCCAATTTCTCCTCTGAGCAACATCCCAGGCTTTTGTTTTCTCCATGTGTTCATTTGCATTTAAAGAAAAAAAAAGGGAAAGATTTTAATGAGGCACTTGACTCCCAGAGAGGGCAAACAGAAGACATGATGTGTCTTGCTGAGGTTTCTGTGTAGGGTACCCAGTTGGCCCTCCTGGGTAATGTGGAGCAAAGTCCTGTGCTTCCAAAGCACTCTTCTTCCAGATATGGCCACAGTGGTGAAGGTGGCAATGGGCATAACTTCTGACATTGTTCTGATGGAAGAAATTAAAGTTAGATACATCTAACTCCTCAAAGGACCATGCAGAACTAGGATTCAGGCCTTTTAAACCCCACTCAGTGGGTGCATGGCAGGGCTTTGAGAACCGTGACTGGGAAGAAAGTCTTTTCTCCTCCTATGTAGGTGCCTAGTGAGAAACCTACATGTGCAATAATTGCCTTTCCTTAGAGAACACTTTAGCCATTGATTGGAGACCTCAGAGCTTTTGTAGCAATTATTAGTGTCTTCTCCAAAGAGATTTGTGTTGGAGCTGGGAGCCCACAGGAAGAGGCTGTTCCCCAATCTCTGCTGTCCCTGCCTGGAATTGAACAAAAACCAGTGAAGAGTGCAACCTAATCAGATTTTGCAGATCTGGAAACACAAAGAATAAAACGGTGTCTTTGGCGGAAAAGAAGTGGCTAGAAGGATCTTGAGGATGGTAGGGTCCAGGGACTGACTTTCAGGCAGTGAAGTTATTATTGTCCCCATATTGATGCACACATTGTGTGTGCATGTGTGTGAGGAATGTAGGAGGGAAGAGGACACTGTGGCTCCAGGAGATTTGCTTAGCATTATAACTGAGCAAGTCTGGGAGGGCAACAAGAACCACCCAGACTTCCTGATGCTCAGCAGAATACTTTTGCCCCTACACCCTTAGGATTTCTCCAAGCAGTGGGTGAGAAATGACCTTTTAGACATTAAGGAAAAATAGTGGACAAAGAGAGAAGAGGACCTGCCAGGTAAAGATGTGGAATTCAGGTGAAGAAACTGACCTGGTTTTCTTGGTTCCTGCTCCATTCAGATCACCAGATCCAATTTCCTTTAATTATCATTTTTTTCCCAATAGGTCAGTCTGACACAATCATAGCTGCCAAAGTCTTATGCTTTAAAGGTGATCCAATGTCCTTTCTATCCTGTTGCACTACAACTCTGCCAAAGAACTTACTGTTAGCTCAAAAGCCTCTATCAGTCTTCAGATATTAATAGACTGCAGAGCTGGTATTTATGTTTGTTTAATTAATGATGGACACCTTCTGAGTAGAGGCTGTTGGAATAATCAGGTGATGCAGTAAAATCTTGCTATAAACTAAACAGAGATTCTGTGTACAGTTTTGTTTCTAATGGCCGTTCCACCACTTCTGAGCTGTGCAGCCTTGGGAATGATACTTAAGCCCTTTCTTTCTTGGTTTCTTTATCCGTAAAATGAGGATAAGAAAAGTTCCTACCTCATGTAGTGGTTGTGGGGATTAAATGAGTTAATATATAAATAATTTAGAATAGTGTTTATCTGTTTTCTATTATTAAGGACAATATCAGTTCTTATAAAAGCATTTTTGGTAAATGAAGAGGCTCTAATGAAGGTAACAGCTTTCTGCTAAGTAAGCACATTGTTAGGTTGAGGAAAAAAGTATAAACCCAAGAATGGCTTATGGGCTTCGTGACTGTTGATCAATTTTAGTGAGTTCTTAGACTTCGGGCATTTTCTGTTTTTAAACACTTTCACAAAAATAAAAGTAATTCATTGAACATGTGTATAGCACATTTCCCTTTGCAAGGTGCCTCATATATTATTTGGTAACTTTATTCCATGAGAAAATATTAAACCTTTACCATGTGCTGAGCTCCAGGAGCACGTGCTCTGACCAGGGAAGGCAGACAGGAGAGAACTTTCCTGTAGAAAGTGCGATCTGGGTTGAGGTTTGAAGGTAGGGTAAGAGTTGGCTAGGACTTGGAGGATGCAAAAGAGGTGTTCTAGGCAGAAGGGGTTTGTCCTGTTGAAAGTGCAGAGATGTAGGAGAACCTGGGGGAGATTAGAGAAGCTGCCAATAATTCAATACGTCTGGAGAGAAGCGTGAGAGGGTGAAGTGTGGCTGTGGGTATCAGGATTTAGAAGCAAGAAAGGAACATGAAGAAATAAGCAGAGGAGATCTCACAGAGGCATTTCCAACATGTGGAGGAGTCAAAATATTATCCCATCCCAGATTACAGTAATCTATTGCATATTTCAAAATAGAGGCAAATAATTTGCGTATTTCGAACTTTAAAAAGACAAATATTTAAGGTGGTGGACATCTAGTTACTCTGATTTGATCTTTACAAATTATATGGATGCGTTAAATTATCACAAGGACTCTCCAAAAATATCCTTTCCATGATGGGCACCGTGGCATGATTTTTAACAGGGGAATCAGATGTGATCAAATTAATGTCTTAGAATTATCACTCTGACCACAGTGAGGAGGAAGAATTTGGAAGAAGCAAATATATAGACAAGGAGAATAATTAGTTCCACGGATGTTGTTCTAATCCAGGTGACAGTTGGAGAGGATTTGATATCAGGGAGGAGTTGTGGTCACGGAGAAAAAGGGATAGAGTCCTGACACGGATATTACAATGGTAGGCAAGAGACCATGTGTCAACACTTGGTGGAGCAATAAGGAAGTTTCGGCTCAGAATGGCTATCTGGCTTGCAGAGCTCACACAGCTACTTAGCAATAGAGGTGCGAGAATGTGCACCCCTGTTCTGAGAATGTTTACCTGTATCTGTTTTGTCAACATGCTAAGATGACTCTATGCCACAGGACTTCGTTGATGGCAGGAGCTAAGATCAGTCATCTCTGAAGCCCTACATCACACCTGACATATTTTATATGTATATATTATATATATATTTATATATTATATATATTATATATTTATATATTATATATTTATATATAATATATATTTACATATAATATACATAATATATATTTTATATATTATAGAGAGAGAGAGAGAAAGAAAGAAAGAGAGAGAGAGAGAGAGAGAGAGACAGGCTCTCACTCTGTTGCCCAGGCTGGAGTGCAGTGGTGCCATCTCGGCTCACTGCCAAGATGGGAGCTTTGACCTCCCAGGCTCAAATGATTCTTGTGCCTCTCTCCCGAGTAGCTGGGATTACAGGTGCTCACCACCATGCATGGCTAATTTTTTTTGCATTTTTAGTAGAGATGGGGTTTCACCATGTTGGCCAGGCTGGTCTCGAACTCCTGGGCTCAAGTGATCCCACTGCCTCGCTTCCAAAGTGCTGATATTACAGGTGTGAGCCACAGCACCTGGCACACCTGGCATATTTTGTCCACAGTACATTTTCAATAAATGTGAACTACAAATACAGGTAAATCCTATTTGCACCTTCCTAACTTGCTTCCCATTCTACATGTCTCAGGGACCACTGGTGTCATGGCAGAGATGAACCTCACCTTGGTGACCGAGTTCCTCCTTATTGCATTCACTGAATATCCTGAATGGGCACTCCCTCTCTTCCTCTTGTTTTTATTTATGTATCTCATCACCGTATTGGGGAACTTAGAGATGATTATTCTGATCCTCATGGATCACCAGCTCCACGCTCCAATGTATTTCCTTCTGAGTCACCTCGCTTTCATGGACGTCTGCTACTCATCTATCACTGTCCCCCAGATGCTGGCAGTGCTGCTGGAGCATGGGGCAGCTTTATCTTACACACGCTGTGCTGCTCAGTTCTTTCTGTTCACCTTCTTTGGTTCCATCGACTGCTACCTCTTGGCCCTCATGGCCTATGACCGCTACTTGGCTGTGTGCCAGCCCCTGCTTTATGTCACCATCCTGACACAGCAGGCCCGCTTGAGTCTTGTGGCTGGGGCTTACGTTGCTGGTCTCATCAGTGCCTTGGTGCGGACAGTCTCAGCCTTCACTCTCTCCTTCTGTGGAACCAGTGAGATTGACTTTATTTTCTGTGACCTCCCTCCTCTGTTAAAGTTGACCTGTGGGGAGAGCTACACTCAAGAAGTGCTGATTATTATGTTTGCCATTTTTGTCATCCCTGCTTCCATGGTGGTGATCTTGGTGTCCTACCTGTTTATCATCGTGGCCATCATGGGGATCCCTGCTGGAAGCCAGGCCAAGACCTTCTCCACCTGCACCTCCCACCTCACTGCTGTGTCACTCTTCTTTGGTACCCTCATCTTCATGTACTTGAGAGGTAACTCAGATCAGTCTTCGGAGAAGAATCGGGTAGTGTCTGTGCTTTACACAGAGGTCATCCCCATGTTGAATCCCCTCATCTACAGCCTGAGGAACAAGGAAGTGAAGGAGGCCCTGAGAAAAATTCTCAATAGAGCCAAGTTGTCCTAACCATCTCCAAACTTGGAAAATCCCGAGAACCACCTACTCTGTAGTGTCAGAATTCTGGACGCTCATTATTTATAGCATGCTCAATGTTTAAATGAATATATTATGGTACTAGGTATAAAAAAGAACCAGAACTTTTAGCTCCAGGGAGAGGAAGGAAGACAAGGAAAAGTCAACCTGAAAAGAGATTGGAGTGGGAGTTTTGATTCCCAGGACAAGTGACAAAAGGATTTGAAATTAAAGCCTGTGCAATCCAAATATGGCACACTTCACCTGTCTGTGATTATAAGAGTAATTTTTTTTGCAAAATTTTTAATGAAAGATTTTCATCATATAGAAATGTTAAAAATAATATGTAGGAAGTTTCCTATACTCAGTACTGAGATTGTGTAATTGCTAATATTTGCTGTCTTTACTTGGTTACATAGATGTAATCTATCCGTGAGTTTATTCATCAATCAATTCACTCATCAAACCACCTTTTTTTGATTCATTTCAAGGTGAGTTCCGGACATCAGCATTAGTACCCTTTACTTCTATGCACTTCAGAATTATATCATCAATTAGGATTCAATATTTAGATTACATTTATTTTTAATGATCAAACTATGGTCGTTTGATGATCCAATTAGCAAAGCTGACCCTACTCAAGGTATGCCTTAATATTCTGGTAGTAGTTCTCAAGAAGGCCTCACACAAACTTTTAACAATGCCTACAATAACATGTCTGTCAATTGCTATCACCTCTGGATATATGCCCTGTTCTTTTTCTTCCTACCTATTACAGTTCTCTCTCGTCATATGGCATGACTAAAAATCCACTTAGCAAAGTTATACCATTCCCACTGCCCATAATGGCGTCTTCAGTGTCTGTATCATAGACATTGACTCTCTGTGTTCTGAAAGCTTTTTCCTTCAGGGAGGCAGAACATTGCTGCATTCCACATGGCGATAGGCAGGAGGGTGGTCCTCGCCTATCCTGGGTCCCTGCACTCTGCAGCAGCTCAGCCTGCATCCAAAGCCTCACAAAATCTGTCTGTTCTTAATCTTTACTTCTCTAATCACAGGGGACTTGTCTCAATCAAACCCAAGGCACTGGAAGAGAGCAGGCCCCATCTATTAATTTTTTTTCATTTAAACAAATTTTTATACCTGGAACTCAAACTTCTTTTCCTGTCTCCTGGATTACTAAAAAAAAAAAAAAAAAAAAAAATCCAAAACCAAAACAACAACAACAAAAAATCCAGGGTACCCTGTATGTGATTGATATAAACAATTGTGGAAAGGGAAAGGTGGGGAGAGGGTGACGGTATCTTACAAACCTAGGATGATTTTAAACTCAGCCAGACAAAAATGCTGTGTGAAACACAGAATTCCAGTTACAAGACTTTAAATGGGAAGAAGATATGTGAAAGGTGGGAGACTCAGCATGCAGGTAGCCAAAGGATATTCAATGGAAGGTGGCTTATAGTAAAATAAAACACATCTGAATCTTTAAAGACATTATATTTATTCTAGAAGACAGAATATTTTAAAGTACATATTGTAATTTTCACAAGAAATATTTTATCCCTTTAATAGTGTTTTGTCTGGTTGTGAAAACCCAGGCTTAAAATTTATAGCTTTACTAAGGGGGATGATTAATAAATAGTATATGTGTCAATTGTGTTACAGGTTGTGTAAAAAATGTTAAAGAAATGTTGGAAAGCTTGAATCAGTGATATGAAATTCCCTCCTGGTTGTGTCTGTGTGAATAAAAGCAGTATACTAAGGAATTATTTGCTGTCTTAGAATCTACCAGAAGTCAGGAAGTACACGATGAATGGAAAGGGGCTACTAAGAGAATAAGTTGCCAGGTAGAAGAAAAAAAATGAATGCCTCCTTCTGATTAAATTCTAAACAAGTATCTGCAGATTTATGTTCAAGAAGGAAGGGCTAAGTGAAAAGGCTGTAGGAACTAGTGGTCATGAAACCCCATGTTGTATACGGAACATCATCTACTTTTTAGTCTATAAATAGAGCTCAGGAAAAGTTAAAAAATGCTTTCCATTTAGGTATGGAAGATGAGTCGGGGTTCAATTATGACATTTTTAAGAAAAGTTGACAATAGGGAAGTTACCTGATTGTAAATAGGTGTGAATATTTCCTTACATTCTGCTATACCTTGTGTTGAACTCATCCAAATAAAAAACCTGTGGTTCTTTTTGTTCAGTTATTTTAATTCTGGAATGGAAATCCTACCATTTTTGACAACATGGATTAACCTAGAGGACGTTATGCTAAGTTAAATAAGCAAGTCACAGAAGGACAAATATTGCATGATTTATATATGAGGTGTCCAAAAATATTATGCTGGTGCAAAAGGAATTGCAGTTTTTGCCATTACTTTCAATGGCAAAACCACAATACCTTTTCACCAACCTAAGTCAAGCTCATAGAAGCAGAGAGTTGCATGGTGATTGCCTCAGCTGGGGAGAGGAAGAAATAGGGGAATTGTTCAATCAGCATAAAGTTTCAGTTATGCAAGATGAATAAGTTCTGGCCACCTGTTGTACAACATAATATCTATAGTTAACAATATATTGAATACTTTAAAACATGTTAAAAGGATAGATCTCATGCTAAATAGTCTTACCACCAAAAGACCAATCAAGCAACCAAACCAAAAATCACAAACCCAGAAAACAACAAAAAAGAAAACCCACAAAAGAACATTAGAAAATTTTTGGAGGTGACAGATATATGATATGTGTATGTCCAAACTCACCAAAATGTATATTAAATAACTGTATTTTTTTTGCATAGCAATTATACCTCAATAAAGCTTGAAAAAATCTGCTTTTGGAAATCTGCTTAAGGGAAATCCAGGTTACTCAAACCAGGAAACACCATCTACTGGGATGTTTTGAATGTGGCTATAGTACCTAAAAGGAGAATAACAAGGTCTTCCGAAGAGAAACCTTGGACATCCAGCTCACAAGGGAATAGCAATGGTAGCATCCATCTGCATCCTGCCTGGTCTCACACCAGGCGCTCAGGCCAGCTCCTCCCATTACCTTTCTCAAGTGTCTGCCAACACAGGGTGCCCTTCAAGCAGACCTTCACTATCAGGGGCCAGGTCCTCAGGAGCTGTCAAAGAAGGGACTTGTTGGTAGCATGACCTTTCTAGTGGGCTTCAGGAGGGCCTCCCACCATTTTCTGCCCCAAACATGAATGAGATATTCTGGGGACCACACTACTTGGTACAAGATGGGGAGAAGAAAAGCCACAGCTCTTACCTGGTAAGTGCGAGTTGGCAGATATTACTTTATTTTGG
Source organism: Homo sapiens (assembly GCF_000001405.40). Taxonomy (NCBI): domain Eukaryota; kingdom Metazoa; phylum Chordata; class Mammalia; order Primates; family Hominidae; genus Homo; species Homo sapiens. Next base: position 58,183,691 of record NC_000011.10, read on the forward strand.
TTGCAGTGGATATGAGCAATATAGCACGATTTTTGAGTAGCCAAGAACGACCTGAGTCCATCTTAAATCCCTATTTTTTGTTTAAATTTCCTTTGCTTTAAATTAGTTGGCCTGACCTTTTCTTGGAGACTATAGGATATGATAGGAAATGTTGGGTGGTGATGGTCCCTGATCAGCTGAGTGTCCTTCCATAAAACAACTTCCTTGTTCTGTATCTCAATTTCTCCATCTGAAAAATGGGGGAGCAGGTTGATTAAGAGAATTATGAGTCCCTCTGTGGTCTCAGATTCTTTCTATCTAGGCTTTAGCCCTGTTAAATTTTAAATTATTTGAGAAGAGATTTCACATAAAGCATTGGCAGTCATCTCCTTCAGAGGGAGATGTCTGAGACCTGTCTCAGAGCATGGGTTACGATGGAGAGAGAGAGCACTTGAGAACCTGGAAACTGAGAATTATGGGAATGGCTAAGGCCAAGGAAGATGGAGTGTCCAGAGACAAACTTTCTGCATCTTACATTGGCCCTAGACGTCAGGCTTAAGCTTAAAAAATTATCAAGCAGCCATTGTCTTCCCAATGCCTTGTTCATGGCAGATAGGATGTAAACAGAAACTGTTTAGACTCTAGTGGCCGACATGCTTTTCACTCTGCCACCTGTTGCCTCCCTCAGCCACTGCTCAGCCAACATCTCTGTGGGGTTCCCTGAAGCACAGGTGCAGTGGGAATTTCTCTGATTCTTCTTACCATTGTGTGGTAAAAATCTGTTCTTTTGTGTTCACAGAACAGCATTCTCTCTTATCTGGGAAATGCTCCATTCTTTACTCTAACCATATGGGTCACGCAAGTACTCTATCTCCCTGTAGATCTCATCTTTCTGGTCTTCACTGACTGGAAACTGATTGACATTGGGCCAATCCTGGTACCCCATTTTTTTGCCACATAACATCTGGGTTCTTCCTTGGGATTTTTTCAAAGTTGGAACCTAAAAACGTGACTTTTCATCTTCTTTATGGCAAAAAAGCTAGAACATGTGAATAGTAGAAACAACTAGTGGGTATTTTTTTCTACTTTGTTGAAGAAAAGAACATTGAGTCAGAAACAATTATGGACAATAGAGAAATTCTTGGTGTCATGGGAGTTGTTCATCACAGTTGTGCTTGAGACTTAGCTGCATCCCTTCCTGCCCTCACCTTGTTTTGAGAATCATGTAGTGAATTCATCTATGGGTTCAAGCCATGTTACCTGCTGGGCAGAAACCCAGGGACTGTAAGTCATTCTTTCTTAGGGATTTCATTCTCCACATCTGTAAAATGAGAAGATGCACTGGATTCCAGAGTTCTTTCTGGCTTCATCATTCTGGAAAATTCAGACATAAAGGCTCTGAAAACACTTAGAGAAAACTTATAAGGGAAGCAATGGAGGACACTTACCTCAGGATTGCACACCTCTGAGAGGATTTGGAGGAAGCACAGATATGCATAGAAATGAATTAAGATTAATGCACTTAATTATTTGGTCATCTTTATTTGAGGCCCCTTCTATATTTAAGAGCAATAAGCGACCACTGGGTAAAGTGCTGATTAACAAGTTTGGCATTAAAAAGTCACAGACTGGGAATCAAATTAACTACTGATGTAATCATTAAACATCTTCCTATTTGGAAGCCTCAGCCTGTTCATCTGTCGATTGAAAAGCCTGGGTTATTTGACCTCTAATTTCCCCTTCAGTTCCAGCATCTTATGAGAGCCTAAAAAAAATTCCACAGTTCTACAATATGTAAAGTGAGGGCAGGGATAGCAATGATGAATTGAGAGGGGAATGTTTGCAGTAGGATAAGTCCTTCCAAAGTCCTTCTAAAGCAAATTTATAGGCACTAGGTGTTCCTCAGCCTTGAATTGGCATGAGATCCACCTAAGTCTGGATGGAGAAAGATCGTGAAGATGAATTTCAGGGCAAGAGCTGAAGATATGTTCTCCTTACATACTTCCTGGTTCCTCCAGGCCACAAGTCATGACTTCTTGGCTATAAGAAACACTTAAAGTAGTTCAAGAAAAGATCTTTTTGGAAGAAGAGAGGATTATCCCTTGAAATAAAGTCATCTTGGGTCTTTTTCTGGTCCAATCGGCTATGGCTAGAAAGGTAAGGCCAGCCCTTCACCAGTGGCCATGGTGATACTTCGTAGAAGGAGCGAGGGCCTGGTCAAGTGCCCCAAGAATTTTCTACCACAATCTATTCACTTTGAGACTTAGGTGTCATCTGTTAGCTGAGTTCCCTTCTTTCTGAAAAGCTAGAAGCTACATAGCTAGAAGGTACAGACATAGAAGGAAGAACCCCTCAATTATTCCCAAATGTGGAATTCAGCGACATCTTCATGAGAGTTTGCAATATACTACAGGAATTAGGAGTGCACCTTCTGGAGACAGACCACTTGGGTTAAACTCTAGCTCTACCACTTACTGTGGGACTATTGGTGGTCCACTTCAACAATCTGTGCTAAATTTTCTCATCTCCTTAAAATGAAGATAATAATGGTACCTCATTCATGGAATTGTTTTGTGGATTAAATGAATCTATCTATCTGTCTATCTATCTATCTATCTATCTATCTATCATCTATCATCTATCTCTATCATCTATTTTCTATCATCTACCTATTTATTATCTATCATCCATTTATCATCTATCAGCTGTCTACCTAATCATATATCTATGAATCTATCTATCTACTATCAACTATATCTATCATCTGATTTATCATCATCTATCATCTCTTAGAAGAGTGAATTGGCATACAGTAAGCAGCTAAGTTGGTCTTTGCTGTTGGATTTTCCTGTGGGATTTTCCTTTCCAAATTCTGCTCAGATCTATAGCTCTTAGAAAAAAAATCTCTAAACCTCTTTTACTTCAGCTTTATAGGCTCTAATACTCACAATATATGAAATTTTTATCTATACTCTGAGGTTCATTTTGCTTCTCTTCTGGGACTGGCCAAACAGTGACTGAACCATCTTAATAATCATTCTGATAGTGTTTTTTAATTAAAAAATTTAATTGACAAATAATAATTGTGTTTACTTATTTATAGGGTACAATGTAATGTTTTAGCCTATGTATGCATTATAGAATGATTCAGTGAAGTCACTTAAATAAGCCAGTTGTTTTAAGTTTGACTACAGCTTCCTGAAAGCAGGGCCTTGATGGCCTCACAGTCTATTTCATATGGGGTAGCAATAAGAGGGTTGTTGTAATTATATAGTAGAACTGCAGGGGGTCAGCCATTGGATCCACTTCACAATCAAAGAGAGAGACATTCTTTAAAGGGCAAGGTGGTTTCCTCTTCCATATTCCTGAGGGATCCGCCTGGAATTATGTTGCTTCCCCAGACTCCCTTCTAATTCTTTTCCCAGTAGGAGTGATTGCTCCTGGGGGAGCCAGTCAGAGACTTCAAGGAGCCAGATCCTGAGATGAAGTCATCAGGAGATGCTGTTTCTTGGAACAATTACTACTTTGCTATTTGGCATTTGGACAGTTTCTGAGCCTCTTTAGAGCTGTACTGCCTAAGGAGCATCCTTTCCTTAGAACTCTAGTTCTGTACGACGTTAATGAAAAAGAAGTTCTGCGCTCAAATTCTTTTGGGAAATGGTGGGTTAGGAAAAAGTTGATGAGGTTTCTTTTCTTATTTTTCTTTTTCTTTAACTTTTAAGTTCAGGGGTACATGTACAGGTTTGTTACAAAGATAAACTTGTGTCATGGGGGTTTGTTGTACAGATTATTTCATCACCCACGTATTAATCTTAATGGGTAACAACCCATTAGTTGTTTTTCCTGATCCTCTCCCTCCTCCCACCTTCCACCCTCCAACAGGCCCCAGTGTGTGTTGGTCCTCTCTATATGTTCATGTATTCTTATCATTTAGCTCCCACTTATAAGTGAGAATATGTGGTATTTGTTTTTCTGTTCCTGTATTAGTTTGCCAAGGTTTCTTAATTATAGGATTTTGTAGATCCTTTAATATGCTAATATATAATGTGATTTTCCATGTGAAGAATGTAGTATGCAGTGATCTCCAGATTTATGAGAACAGTGAACCTATTTTCCTGGAACGTCTACTTACGACACCTGGCAAAAGGTAAGGCCTTCAAAAGACAAGCCTTCCGGTATGGTTCTCAAATCTGCTACATGTTATAATCACCAGGGAATTTATGAAAATTACTGGTGTTCGGCTCCTACACTCAGGCATTCTGATTCAATTGTTAAGGGGTACAATCTGGGCCTTACGAGTTGCTTCCCAGGTGATTCTAATGTGCAGTGAAGATTGAGAACCACTGCCCTGGGGTCCTTTTGTCTAGTGCCATATTCCAGATAGGTTCAGTCAACTGAGCGTTGACCTGGTCCAAGTCATTGTTTTGCCACCAAGAAGCTCCAGAGTCCTTTCTGTATCTAGGTTTTTAAAATTGATAAGACAGGGAGACATCACATTCACCCTATCTTGGGTCTCCCATGAGGAAGAAAGGCACTGATAGGACTTTGGAGAAATCATGCTTTGCAAGAACATGTCTTTATTATTTTACTTTAGTTTATGGCAGGACACACAGAGGGGCAGGGAGGTCTAGAGGTCCCAATCCCAAGGCATTGGTGCCACAATTTTTGGAGATTAACTGTTTGGAAATCCCCTGGTATGCCTGTTCATAATGTAGATACTGCTCCCATGGCGGATGTACTGCATCTGCATCAATCTATGGAGGTGGGACACTGCTATTCACATTTTAAACAAGTTCTCTGGATAAATTCTTACACACACTGAAGTTTGAGAACTAGTGCTATGGTGGAGGGGTTGGTTACCATCAAGAATTTGCTCAGCTTGCCTGGTGGAAGTCTGTTCACAGCCCACCCACATTGGCCTCTCCAACATTTTATCTTATGACTCCCCACCTGCACCATTCTCTACTTCTGCCAAATGATGAACTTTCGAAGTCATCAATTACAGCATGTTTTGGCAATGGGGAGCAAAAGCTTATGCTTATAAAAAGCCTCCTTTGGGGATCAGTTCATAGCTGGCTATGGTGGCATTGTGTAAAACCCCTGACAAAACTCCCAATTGAGATATAGGAAACCTTCAAAGAAGTACATTTCTTTTGGTACAAGGCAGGAAGAACGCAAGACTAGGAGCCAGCTCCATCAGACCTTGCTGAGGGATGGGGCTTTGGAAGTTTGAAATTAAAGAGAAACTTTCAAAGGTATTAATTAGACACCTTGTTAGGAAGTCATATGAAGATAAGTCTCCTTCCCCTGGAGAATCACCTCAGGAACCAATTAGGGTGTAATACTGGGACAGCGAATATAAGAAGCACATCAGCAAGGTTTCATGATAGATTGGAAGCTCAGGGAGAAAGGCTGGTCCCCTAGTCTTGTTATCTCAAAGTAAGTCTAGAAAAATCTAAGGAAACACTAGTGTCAGGGATATATTGTTTTGTCAAGGGGTAGAGGAAAGAGAGAGACTCCTAGAAGTGAGACTAAAACACAGAAGTATTGGAAGTGACCCCATCTCATCAGGTTGCTATGATTATGGGGTTATCTGCAATTTTATTTACGGAAAGGGAACAAAGGCAAGGTAACTGAAGCCCAGAGAGGAAACGTGACTTGCCCAGGGTCTTACATGCAGTGTGGGTGAACTAGAAGCCAGGTGTCCTTTGGCTTGGCAGGTGATGGGCAGACAACACACTAAACAAAAGAGGAGGGCATTAGCAAAGTAGAATTCAGGTGAGGACAGTTTGTGTCCAGCTCATGACTTTCAGATCTAATTTGTTTTCTTTGTTATTCTCCTCAATGGGTCAGCTCAGTATTGGTCTGGCTGCTGGTACAACAGGTACTCAAACACTATCAAAGCCCTCCTTTACAGCCCTGTTCTAGAACTCCACTAAGGACCCCCAAATTTATTAATCCGAATTTCTCCAACAGCACTCAGACAACACAAGACTACAAAAATATTTCTGCTTTCAAATTTGGATGCTGTTTATTTTCAAGCTACTGTGTTTATTAGGGGCTTTGAGAACAACCAAACAAAGCTTATGGAGCTTTGTTAGGTGCCCAAAAAAACTTATGTTTGCTCTTTTGATTTCAAGGTCAATGCTTGAGTGTGTGTTTATGTGTGTGTATACACACCCTTAATAAGCCAGCCTACTCTAATTAGGATAACAGCTGTTTGTTAAACTTGCATGTTGTTAGACTGAGAATAGTAATATTCCTACAAGCAGAGCCCATTGCTGATTGCTAATAGATTTTTTTGTTTATATGTTTTTGTTCAGAGAATATAAATTTTCCTTCCTTAAAACATTCATTTAAAATTTTAATAGCCACCTTATATATGTGGAGTGCTTTTAGCTTTCCAATGTGCTTTTGCCTCTGTTTTAACCTACGCATTAATCTTATCTCATAAGCAGGGCAAGCATTATGATCCTCTTTTGGCAGAGGAGGAAATTGAGGTTCAGAGAGGTTAAGTGCCTTGTGTAAGATCAAACAGCTAATTGGGGACAGAGTTGCAAATACAAGCGCTGACTTGTAAGTCAGGAATCACTTGCTCTCTGTTCTTTCTATAATAGAAGCATTCATCACTTTTTATCTTATATTACAGTGAGCTCAATATCTGTCTATATCTATCTTCGACTGAAAAGTGTGTTGAAGTTGAGTGCCGACATGTAAGACATTCAATTTAAAGCTTTGTTACTTGAAATCATTTGAACTCCTCTTGAGCTGTCCCCTCATCTGGCTCTTGTCTTAGCCGTTGCAGGTGAACCACTGGATGGATGGCTGAAAGGAATTACACCGTAGTGACGGAGTTCTTCCTTACTGCATTTACTGAACATCTCCAGTGGAGGGTTCCTCTCTTCCTCATATTTTTGAGTTTCTATCTTGCCACTATGTTAGGGAACACAGGCATGATCCTCCTGATCCGTGGCGATCGTCGGCTCCACACCCCGATGTACTTCTTCCTCAGCCACCTTTCCTTGGTGGACATCTGCTACTCGTCCGCCATCATCCCTCAGATGCTGGCTGTGCTGTGGGAGCACGGCACAACCATCTCCCAGGCTCGCTGTGCAGCTCAGTTCTTCCTCTTCACCTTCTTTGCCTCCATCGACTGCTACCTTCTGGCCATCATGGCCTATGACCGCTACACGGCCGTGTGCCAGCCCCTGCTTTATGTCACCATCATAACCGAGAAGGCCCGCTGGGGCCTAGTCACTGGGGCTTACGTTGCTGGTTTTTTCAGTGCCTTTGTTCGAACGGTCACAGCCTTCACTCTCTCCTTTTGTGGAAACAATGAGATCAACTTCATTTTCTGTGACCTCCCTCCTCTATTAAAACTCTCCTGTGGGGACAGCTACACTCAGGAAGTGGTGATTATTGTGTTTGCTCTTTTCGTCATGCCTGCCTGTATCTTGGTGATCTTGGTATCCTACCTGTTTATCATTGTGGCCATCCTGCAGATCCACTCTGCTGGAGGCCGGGCCAAGACCTTCTCCACCTGCGCCTCCCACCTCACTGCCGTCGCTCTTTTCTTTGGCACCCTCATCTTCATGTACCTGCGAGACAACACAGGCCAGTCCTCCGAGGGAGACCGAGTGGTGTCTGTGCTCTACACGGTGGTGACCCCAATGCTGAATCCCCTTATCTATAGCCTGAGAAACAAGGAGGTAAAAGAGGCCACTAGGAAAGCCCTGAGCAAATCAAAGCCTGCTAGAAGACCCTAAATGGACCCTTGTGAAATATATCATTCCTTAGTTTCCCCATCTTTTCTGTCTTTTCTCAATAGCACCTTCTGGAGAGACTTTCCTAAATAACCCTATGCAAAATCGCACCTGAACTTCCCACCTCCACTTTCTGATTTATTATTCCATGTAATACTTATCATCATCTGACATATTAGATGTTATATGTGTTTGACATTTTCTAATGCTCACAACTAGAAAGTAAGCAACATGAGAGCAAATACTTTTTTATCTGAGCTTCATTTCTATATGTCCAGTTCCTAGCAAAGCACCTAGCATGTGAAAGGCACTCAATAAATATTTGTTGAGTGAATGAATCTCAGGTTCCATTGTCTACTTTTAAGTTGTAATTTCTTCAGTCATCAGTTTTCTTATCTGTCAAGTAGATTTATCTACCTTATAGGACTATGGTTTTGAGGATCCAATGCATAAATGGACAAGGATCGCCTCTGTCTTATTCACTAGTATCTGCAGAACACAGTGCATTGCCCAACACAATAAATACTTGATGAGTGAAGCAAGAATATTTGGAAAATTATAAAGCAGTCTACAAATACAACTGCTGTTTTGATCCAAAGGTATTTTCCAAATTTTGTCATTTATTCATTTATTCTTTCTTTTTTTATCTTCTTGTTTCTGTGATTTTTGAATAACAATGAGGAAAATAATAATAATAATAATAATAATAATAATAGCAAGTTACACTTATTAGGCATTATTATCTTCCAGGACTTACAATAAGTTTGCTACAGGAATTATTTGATTTAATTTACAGGACATCCCTATGAGGTAGGTTCTATTATTATCTCTGCTTTATAGGTAGGTGAGGCACTTGAGGCTTAGAGATGTTGAGTAATATTCTCAAGGTCGGCAAGCAAGTAGTTGGGTGGGGCTTCCACCCAGCTAGGCCTGAGCTCCTATCGGACACACACACTGTTGCTAGCTGTAATCTATTGCCTATTCTATATAATCACTCAACCGGAATTTATTGTTATTGCTCTTTTCTTTTTCCTTTTATCTGGTGAAGAAAAGGTAAAAGTCCAATCTGTTGGTGTAGATGGCAGTCAACAAAATTCATTTTATAGCCCCTATGTTCTAGGATTGTATAATGTGACTTTGTGTATATATGTGTGTGTGTGTGTATAGTTGTGCATGATAAAGTGAAGTGTGTAAACAGCAACTTCTGAATTTGAGGAATGTTTGTTTTAAGGAGATATAATAAATATTTTAGAAAGGAGATGGCTGGGCATATTTAGGAAAAGGTATAGGGAAAAAATGAACACCTATGGCCAAGAGGTTTGGGATCATATATCAGCTCTGGTAGAAATCATTTAAAAACTGCAGATTGGGGTGAAGGAATACCACAGAATGCCTCTTGATGTTCATTTTCCAAATATTAACTGTCATGCAAATATTTTCAGAGCACACCAACATCTGTGGTGGGTGTTAGACATATTTGTGTTGTGGAAAGAACTCAGAACTTGGCACCAAAGTGTCCAGTCTGCCACTTCTTAGCAGTGTGGCTTCAGATTAATTAGTGCCTTTCAGCCTGCTTCTCCTCTGTGAAATAATACTTACTAAGCACTTACTCTGGGACATGATTTACATGTATCTCATTTATTCTCACAATAACTTGGTATATTTGGATAATTGGAAGGCATTCGGTAATATTATAAACATTATTTAGTGTTATTAATTACTGTTATTAATTCATGTTAGTATGGTGCTTGTCCAGGCTCCACAGCCTAGTGAGTAGTGATGGGCAGAGGGACCCATAGCTGATCTCTGGGCCTCTTTATTGAAGAACTGTCTGGAACAGTCCCTCCTGGGCCCAGATTAGCTCTAAACCTGGACATTTCCAGGAGTCAAGTTCTCAAATAATTTTTTAACTTAATTCTTAAGCTAGTGCACACTTACCATATCCTAGGTACAATGCTAAAAGCTTTACATGAATCCTTTATTTTAGCCCTCCTAACAATGTTAATGAAAAGTAATTTTTATTGACCCCATTTAGCAAAACAAAAAAGAAAATCTAAGACTCAGAGATATTATGTGACTTGACCAAGTTATGTAGCAAGAAAGTGGCAGATGAGGGAGGTTCTGTTCTCAGGTCTCTGACTCCAAAGTACATACTCTTATCTGATAACTGCCCTTCTGCACTCTTTCTTCTCCTTCTCCCAGGCCCTAGTTCCTGGTTATAGTTTGCTTCAGAGGTTATCTGGATTTCAGTTGCATTCTTGATCTCCATGTTTGGTAGGTGTGGGCTGAGATGGGTGAGTTTGATGGACTCACATTATTGTGAAGTTCATGGAACTCATTTTGGCCCTCTTGTAGGCCAATGAGGAGAGTCTGGGGGAATCTATAACTCCCTCAGAAAGAGCAGGGTGGGCTCAGGTAAAGTATTGCCTTCAAAGCCCTTCCAGAATATCTCTTGGCTCAGAGTGCTTCAATAAATAGTTAATCGGCTTAGTGCCTCCAAGCAGGCACTAACCTTCCCTTCGGGTCTTCTTTTTCAGTCTTAAGTGATTACCTAAGGAATTAAATATTCCTTTCCAAACACTGATTATTGTTATTTATTACTATTAGCATTTACAAATATGGAATTGTACATATATACAATGTGTATTTACTTTGTTATTTTTGTTATATCTATCATTATTATCAAAAGACATCATTCAAAAGATGTATCTGAAATCCCTTCTAATTTACTAAAACTTTAAAATATAGTTTTATTGAGATTTGACATGCAATAAACTGTACATATTTAAAGTGTACAATTTGATAAGTTTTGACATGTATACACTCATGAAACCATCACCATAATCAAGATAATGAACATGTACATCACTTCCCAAGTTTCCTTATACCTACTACAATTTCTCCCATGTGCCCCTTCACATCATTCCCCATCTACACCCTCAGGCCACTACTGGTCTGCTTTTTGTCCTATACATTAGTTTGAATTTTATATAAATTTTATGTCAATGGACTCATATCTGACTTCTTCTACTTAGCATAATTATTTTGAGAATCATTAACATTGTTGTGTATATCAATAATTCATTTCACATTATTGCTGAGTATTATCACATTGTATACTATGTTTGTTTATTCATTCATCTATTTATGGGGATTTTAATTGTTTCCACTTTTTGGCTATTATAAGCAAACCTGCTGTGAATATTCATGAACAACCTTTGTATGGATATATACTTTCAGTTCTCTTAGGTACCTAAGGGTGAAGTGGTTGGATTACATAGTAGGCATATGTTTAATTTCTTAGGAAACAGCCAAACTGTTTTCAAAGTGGTTGTATCACTAAACATTCCCACCAACAGTGCTAACAGTGCATGAGAGTTCCAGTTCTTCCAAATCCTCACCAAAACTTAGCATGGTCAGTCTTTCTAATTTTTGTACTTTGTGGTAAGAACAGATAACAAGATATTTACCCTCTTAACAAATTTTGAGTTTAGTATGGTATTGTTAACCGTAAGGATGATGTTCTACAGCAAATCTCCAGAATTTATTCATCTTGCATAACTGGAACTTTATACCTATTGAACTACAATTCCTCATTCTTCCTGGCCCCAAGCCCCTGGCAACCACCATTCTATTTTTGCTTTTATGAGTTTGACTATTTTAGATACCTTAAAGTGAAATCATGTAGTATTTTTCTTTCTGTGACTGACTTATTTCACTTAGCATAATGTTTTCAAGGTTCATCTGTGTAGTTGCATATGGTAAGATTTCCTTTAAAAGATGAGTAATATTCTAATATATACAGTCATCCCTCAGTGTCCATCAGGGGATTTGTTCCAGGACCTTCCACAAATACCCAAATCTGCAGATGCTCAAGTCCCTGATATAAAATGATGTAATATTTGCATATAAACCTATGCACATCTTCTTGTATACTTTTTTTTTTTTTTTTTTTTTTTTTTTTTGAGACGGAGTCTCGCTCTGTCACCCAGGCCGGACTGCGGACTGCAGTGGCGCAATCTCGGCTCACTGCAAGCTCCGCTTCCCGGGTTCACGCCATTCTCCTGCCTCAGCCTCCCCAGTAGCTGGGACTACAGGCGCCCGCCACCGCGCCCGGCTAATTTTTTGTATTTTTAGTAGAGACGGGGTTTCACCTTGTTAGCCAGGATGGTCTCGATCTCCTGACCTCATGATCCACCCGCCTCGGCCTCCCAAAGTGCTGGGATTACAGGCGTGAGCCACCGCGCCCGGCTTCTTGTATACTTTAAATGATCTCTAGATTACTTATAATCCCTAATACAATGTAAATGCTATTCATAAGTGCTATTTAAATAGTTGTTATACTGTATTGTTTAAAAAATAATGACAAGAAAGAAGTCTATACACGTTCAGTACAGACACAATTGTTTTTCAACTATTTTGATCCAAGATTGGTTGAATCCATGACTGTGGAACCCACAGAGGCAGAGGGCTAACTGTACCACATTTTCTCTATCTCTTCATATGTCAGTGGACATTTAGGTTATTTCCACATCTCAGCTACTACGAATAATGCTTCAATGATCATGGGAGTACACACACACACACACACACACACACACATATATATATCTATATCTATATAGATATAGATATAGATATATTGGTTTCAATTCTTTTGGATAAATACTCAGAAGTATTGAATATTTATTGCTGAGTCATACGATAATTCTATCTTTAGTTTTTTGAGAAAACTTCATACTGTTTCCCATAGCAACTGCATCATCTTACATTTCCCACAACAGTGTACAAGGGTTCCAATTTCTCCATGTCCTCACAATCATTTATTTTTTTAAAAAAATAATAACCATCCTAACAGGTGTGAGATGATATCTCATTGTGGTTTGATTTGCATTCCCCTGTTGATGAGTGATGTTAAGCATCTTTTCATATACCTGTTGGTCAGTTGTATATCATTTTGGAAAAATACTATTCAGATCTTTTGCCCATTAAAATGTTTTTTTAATTTAAAAAGATTTATTGAATAAAGATTGTGTATATATATATATATATATATATATATATATATATATATGGTGTGTAATTTGATGACTTGGTAGATGCATTGTAATAATCATTACATTGTGTAATCATTATCACAAACAAATTAATCAACGCACCTATCACCACACATGCTGTATGTGAAATCTCCAGAACTTGTTCATTTTATAACTGAAAATTTGTTCCCTTTGATCAATATATTATTTTTCTCCACCTCCAGCCACTGGAAACTATTGTTCTCTGCTTCTATGAGTTGGACTTTTTTAGATTCCACATATCATTGATATCATACAGTATTTGCCTTTCTGTGTCTGGATTATTTTTCACTTAGCATAATATCCTCCAGGTTCATACATGTTGTCACAGATGCTGGTATTTTCTTCTTTTTTATAGCGATTAATAAATAATACTCCATTGTATATGTATACCACATTTCCTTTATCCATTCATCCATCTATAGACACAAGTGTTTTCTCTATCTTAGCCACGGTGACTAATGCTGCAATTAACATGAGAGTGCAGATATATTTTTGAGATACTGATTTCATTTTCTTTGGATAAAAACTCAGAAATGGAGTTGCTGGATTGTATACCAATTTACATTCCCACTAAAAATGAACAACTGTTTTTTTTTTTCTTCCACACCCTCTCCAACACTTATCTTTTGACTTTTTGAGAATAGCCATCCTAACATATGTGAGGTGATATTTCACTGTGGTTTTGATTTGCATTTTTCTGATGAATAGTGATGTTGAACATCTTTTCATATACCTGTTGGCCATTTTTATGTCTTCTTTGGACAAATGTGTATTTAGATCTTTTACCCGTCTTCTAATTCAATTACTTTTTTTTCCTATTGAGTTGTACAAGTTCCTGGTATATTTTAGATATTAATCCCTTATCAGATATATGATTTGCAAATATCTTCTCCAATTCCTTAGGTTGTCATTTTACTCTGTTGACTGTTTCCTTTGAAGAGAAGCAGCTTTAAAAAATTTGATGTGGTCTAACTTGTCTAGTTTTGCTTTTGTTGCCTGTGCGTTTGGTGTCATAGCTAAGAAAGTGTTGCCAAAACCAAAATCATGAACATTTTCCTCTGCATTTTCTCCTAAGAGTTTCAGGATTTACATTTATGTAAGTTTTTAATTCATGTTGGATTGATTTTTGTGTATGGTGTGTGATTAGCATCCAACTTCATTCCTTTGCATGTGGAAATCTGGCTTTCCCAATATCATTTGTTGAAGGCACTATAATTTCTCCACTGTGTATTCTTGGCGCCCTTGTCAAATATTGGTTGATCATATTTGGGTTTATTTCTGGGCTCTCTATTCAGTTCCATTTGTCTATATGTCTGTCTTTATGCTACTATATTTGTATCTTGCAAGCTTGCTAAACTCACTTATTAGTTTTAGTAGCTTCTTCTATTTATTCCTTTTGATTTTCTACATACACAATTGTGTTGTCTATGAATAAAAGCAGTTTTATCTCTTTCTTTCTAATTTGAATAGTTTTATTTCTTTTTCTTGCCTTATTGCACTGGCTAGAACTTCAAATACAATGTTAAACGGAAATGAGGAGAATGTAAATTTCTGTCCTATTGTTTATATTAGGGAATAATCTCTCATTTTCCCACCATTCCTTATGTAGATTTTTCACAGATGATCTTTTTCACATAAGGGAGTTCCCTTTGATTCCTGTTTTTTCTTTTCATAGTATTTTTCTTTTTAAAATCAGGAATGGATTTAGGATTTTCTGCATCTACTGAGCTGATAATCTAGTTTTGTTTTTGTTTATTAATATGATGGATAGCATTTTCTGATTTTTGAATGTTAAACCATTCTTGTAATTTGGGGGATAAACTACACTTGGTTACAGTATATTATTCTTTTCATTATCACAGTAAGTAGAAGATGTTCCTGATCATTCTAGGGTGGGTAAAATTGTCACAGATGGTATTACCTAAAACTGTATGCCAATTTTAAAAGAGGTTTGTAGTTCTGAGTCATTTACAATCCTCTGTTAAAAGGAGAATATATATAGAGGGACATATGCAAGTGGAAGGAAGACAGAGGAAAAGAAGACATTTGAAATTTTTTCATCTTCTGAAAAATCTGTTCTGAAGGAGGTAGTTTCATTTCGATTTCAATGCTGAGGATTCAGGACTGCTTGAGAGATAGCTAGGCATGATAGCTGCCTGAGTTGAAGAGAACAGATCAGAAAGTATGATTTCAGGAGTAATGGTTTGGGTCCTGTGTTATTTGAAACAGTTGCTCCTTCTTTTTTCTTGGACAAACTTTCACATTCTTCCTTTGTCTTCCTGACTACTAGTTTATTCTGTTTCTTAAATATTAGAGTCTACCAGGGCTTTGTCATTGACCTTGCTCTCTCTCTTAGTTGCTCCTTAGGTAATTTCACCAAGCCCTATGACTTTAAATACTTCTTTTATTTAAATAAAATAAAATAAAATTCTTTACCATGGCCTATAAGACTCAGCCTGTATGGGTTTCTAATTACCTCCATGACTATATGTGCTTCCACTCTCCTCACTCACTCTGCTCTAGCCATGGAGAATGCTGTCCATGCAGAATGCAAAACCTGTTCCCATAAGGATTTTAAACGTGCTCTTCCCTTTTATTGGAATGCGTCCCCAGGTCTCATGGTTCACTCCCTTATTCTATTCAGTTCTCTGTTCAAATATCTAACAGAGTCCTTCCCCAAGGCCTAAACTTCCTTTGCTATCATTAGCCACTCTCTGTTTCATTGTCCCCATACCTGCTTTACCTCTCATTGAATTCTTCTTACCACCTCATATTATATCAATGATGTATTTATTTATGTGTTCATTATCTGTCTTATGCACTATGAAGTAAGAGCCAAGGAAGCAACAGCATTGCCTCATTTCCTTTTGACTCTCAATAGGTATTAAAAAAAATTCTAGTGATCAGTAAGTAAATATTTGCTGACCCTTTATAGATGAGGTTTTACAAGTTATTCCCAGCCAATGTATAGATTTTTTTTGTGTGTGTTTCTAGGCAGTCCTCTTGCATTTGTGTTAGCTACAACGAGATGGCATGAGTTTCTGTTGATTTATTCATAACATCAAAAATTGGCTTTTCTCAGGTACAGCTAACACAAAAGAACAAGAATAGTGTAAAATTCAGTTGGCTGTGCTTTGCACAAAATCTTTATGTTTTCTTAATCTGATGACATTAATTATTGACCAAACATTGTCTTCACTTATCAAGTCTTAAAAATCATGTAAAATCATTTTTAAGTTAATTTTTCTTTTTAGGTTGAGAGTGCACTGAGGTCATGCACTGTGAATTATTCATTCTTTTAGTCCCAGATTCAGATCCTGACAAATAGAAAGTTCTCAATAAATGTTTCTTGAAAATGGCAAATTGGAGAATGATTCAGGGAAATAAAAGTATCTAGACATAGATTTACGCATTTCCTCTGTAAAGACTTGTCTGGATTTTTATAAAAGTTTGTGACTTTCTATTTTCTTACTCAATTCTGTTCTGTGTCCCAAATCTAATCCTAATTCATTTTCTTAGGCACACTCTCAATGTACATGTAAGTCTAAATCTGGCCCAAATTAACCTTTCTGTTACTCACTGCTGATGAAGTTCTACTTTCCAGCCTCCTATGGGACCTACACGCCAGAGATAAGAGGTTCAGCACAGGCCAACAGGGATGGGATCAGTTTAGACCAAATCACCTGAGTTTAACCCTAGTGGTCCTTATTCTATCAAATATGGACTAGATCTAACCAGAAGAAAGGCTGGGGGATGGGGAATCCCAGGTTCACCAACTAATGTTTATATAACTGAGAAAATTCTGGTACCATCTTAAGTATGATGGTTGAATAGGCAAGACAGTTCATATTCATTAAAATTTTAAAAAGTTTTTCCCTCTTCCTATAATGGTAATCATTGTAAAATGTTAAAGCAATACAGAATGTAATATGAATCATTTTATCTCATGACCCAAGCAAAACCACTGTTATGGTTATATATTACTGTGTACAAACCACTCCAAATGGGAGAAACTTAAAACAATAACAATCATCTTATGGTTGTCTTTTGGGTTCTAGGGGTTGGCTGGGCTTGGCTAGGTAGTTTTCACTTGGTCTCTCATGTGCCTTGTGGTTGGGGCTGAGGCTGGAATCACCTGAAAACTCACTCACATGTTGGTGACTGGGTAGGGAGACTCAAAGACTGTTGGACCAGTGCAGCTGGGACTCCTTGGACAACTCTCTTGAATTCTGTATAGTCTTTCCATATGGTCTGTCCAGCATGGTGACTTTAGGGTAGTGGGACTTCCATAGCAACTCAGAGCTCCAGAGGTCCATGTCCCGAGAGAGAGAGTGGGACAGGTGGAAGTGTGTCTTTGTCTGGGATGCTATAACAAATTTCCATGAACTTGGTGGCTTAAAAAACATTTATTTTTCATAGTTCTGAAGGCTGAAAGTCTGAGATGAGTGTGCTAGCCGGGATGGTCAGGTTCTGATGAGACCTCTCTTTTGGTTTCAGACTGTTGATTTCTTGATGTATTTCTCCATGTGGCAGAAATAGAATTCTCTGGGATCCCTTGTATAAAGGCACTAATAATTTATGAGGGCTTCATCCTCATGACCTACTCAGCTTTCAAAGGCTCCACCTCCTACTACCATCAGTTTGAGGGTTAGGATTTTAACACATGAATTTTGGGGGGAAACAAATATTTAGTCCATATCAAAGCTGAATTGGTTCTTCTAAGACAGCCTCAGAAATCATGCAACAGTACTAATGGGGTGCTCTATTGGTCAAAAAAGTACTCAAAACCAAGCTCAATGGTGAGGGTCATGGGCTCCACCTCTTGATGGAGAAGTGGTAGGGTACTTCAAGAGCACGTGGGATGGAAATATTGTGGCCATTTTTGGGAAATGCAATCTGCCACAACCACTTATATTTTGATGGCTCTCCTCTGAGGCATCTCTTTATGCAAATTCTGTTTTACAAAAAATGGGTTTTTATGATACATGCTGTTATAAAACTTTCTTTGTTCATATTAGACCAATTGCAAGATCACAGAAAAAAGAAGCTGAGAGATTAGCAACATGACTTGCCTTGCAGTGAATTAGCTGCAGAGTTGGTCTAGATTCCATGTCTCTTGATTACAAATCTGGGACCCTTTCTACTGCTCCACATGGAATAATGAAGGCAGAGTTCTGTGCTGTTCCATGTTGGAGCTACGGATGAAACAGGATGGGTATTGAGGTACTTGAGGAAGGCTAGAACTGTTGAGAGGTTTATTTGGTAGCCCATACAGAAGCAGGTGGGTTTTACATTTATAATGAAAACTAAAAGGAAGCATCAAAGTTTACGAGATAGCATGGAGAAAGGCAGGTGGCTGATTATACATTTCCTCTTAAATAGGTTGGATGATTCTAAGTTTAGAGAAGAACGGAAGTCAGCTTAGGCTGGGAAAAAATAAACTTAATTTGGCAGGGCAGGTAGGTCGGAGTTGGAAGCCAGGAAGGTGGGCAGTTAAAAAAAAGTATCACTTTGTTTTTAGTGTCTACTATATACTACATAGCTGTTGGGGACAGAGTCAGAACTCTAACTGATACATTTATACATAAACTCTGTGGTTTTCCACTGAAATAATTGAAGTCATCTGGAGTCATATTTCCTAAAACATATTTGTGCAATGCTAGTTCCGCGAACAACTGTGATGAATTGGGTTCTGTATGATGGAAATAATTGAATTTCAATTATTTCAAGTTTAGTCTTGAGAAATGCTGTGTACCATCTTACCCTCTTGGAGATTTACATGACAATGAAGGTTCTTGGAAGTTGTCCAGTTATTACATTGTGCTTCATATAACTCAGAGTTGCCAAAAATTATTTGACCATGGGAATCTTCATTGTTATAACCACTAAACATCTCACTGAATAGTACCTTAACAAAACAAACTTTGAGAAAAACTGACCTAAAGAAATGTAGATTAAAGAAAGAAGTAGTAATAACTGTCTTCAAAGCTACAAAGGCTAGACTGTAGGCACTCTATGCACCTGTGATAGTCTAGGTTATGAATAATTTGTACCAAAGTTTATAATAATATAGATTGTAATTAAGATGTGTTTTTAAATTAATTTTTTATTTATGCATAAATTTTTAATTTATCAATACATGTATTTTTATTGATAAATTGTCCTCCATAGTTATGGGGAACATCTTATATTTTGATACATTCATATAATGTGTAATAATCAAATTAGGGGATTAGGATATCCATAACCTTAAACATTTATCTTTTCTTTATGCTGGGAACATTGGAATTATTCTCTTTTAGCTATTTTGAAATATATAATAGATTACTGTTTACCATAGTGCCCCATAATGATTTATCAAACAATAGGTCTTATTTCTTCTATCTAACTGTATTGTTGTACCCATTAATCAACCTCTATTCAACTCCACTCCACTTCTCTGCTACTGGGCCCTGGTAACCACCAATCTACTCTCTAAGGATGCGTGTTATTCTTGTGACTTACCATGGCAGTTACAGATTTTGTTTCCAAGACAAGAGCTAAGTGGAAAAGCTCCAATCCCCTTAGAGGTTGGAATAGGAGACAGACATCTGCAAGTTCATCAAAAGTTGAACCGTCACAACTGTGTCATACACTCTGGGCTGAATCATTTATCTGATTATGTGGACTAAAAGAATGTAGATGTCCAGGGCATCAAAGGGAAGAAATTTTTCTATTGATGAGCTTTCTCAGGGCACCTTTCATATCCTTATTCCTCAAGCTGTAGATGAAGGGGTTCATCATGGGTGTCACCACAGTGAATAGGACAGCACCAATCTTATCAGTGTCCTCAGGGTGAGTGGAGGAGGGGAAAAAGTACACGCCTACAGTGGTTCCGTAGAACAGTAATGCAATTGTCAGGTGAGAGCCACAAGTGGAGAAGGCTTTCCACTTTCCCTGTGTGGATGATACTCCCAGGACAGCTCTGATGATGCAGACATAGGAGAAGAAGATGAGTACAAAGGGGAAGATGATAACTGATAAACCCACAATAAACAACACAAGCTCATTGATCATTGTATCTGAACAGGACAGTTTGAGCAGAGGGGCCAAGTCACAGAAGAAGTGTGGGAGAGTGTTGTGGTCACAGAAGAGCAATTGAATGAGCAGAAGGGTGTGTGTAAGAGCAATAATATTACTGAGGAACCACGAGATGACTGTGAGCAAAGTGCCGAACCTGGCCCGCATGAAAGTTGTATAGTTCAGAGGGTGGCAGATCGCCACAAAGTGGTCGAAGGCCATGGTCCCCAAAAGCAAATTGTCAGTGACGACAAACACAATAGAAAAGTACATCTGTGTGATGCAGCTCTCATAAGAGATGGATTGGCTGTTGGTTTGAATATTCACCAGCATTTTGGGGACTGAGTTGGAAATGGAGGAAATATCAGCAAAGGATAGGTAGGCAAGGAAGAGATACATGGGGGTGTGAAGGTATATATCCAAGCTGATAGCCACAATGATGAGCCCGTTCCCAACCACAGTGACCACATACATACTCAGGAAAAGCACAAAGAGGAGGTTTTGATGTTCAGCCTGGTTGGAGAGTCCCAGGAGAATGAATTCAGTGATGGTGGTTTGGTTTTCTTGATGCATATTTCTGCTGATCTGAAGAAAGGAACACAAAGTCTTCATACACCTACAAGAAAATTTAACATGGTGTCATTTGGCTGCAGCCATTACAGTAAGGCACTTCCTTTAAGCTGATGAGCAATAAAGCTTCTTCTGCTTATTAAGTGGAAGTGCTACTTAATAAGGAAGTATTTCAGCAGTGCAGAGATTTGGAAAATGCCACAGAAAAAGACAGGACATGGCAGATTCTTCTCAATGAACATGTTTTAAACTCTAACAGAATTCTGAATGTGATTTTCCCAGTTGGTTCTAAATGTAGGTTAAATCCCCCAAACTGAGGATCATAGGTGAGGCATACCCTATATTCTAGAGATGTTAGGTACATGTGCAGGAATTACTTAAAAGTTACCAAACTGGTCCCCAAATCATCTCCCTTGTTCAACTTTATGCCTTAAATCTAAGAAAGGAGAAATTTCAAGTCTCGTAAAAGTGAAGAGACTGGAGAAGGAAACACAACTAAGGGTTAGGAATGGCTATGGGAGTGTACACCATTGTGTGGGTGCTTCATCCCATTAACGCCGGGGGAGAACTCCAAAACAAGTGCTTTTGGAGAATAAGTACAAGTAGGAGCAATCAGGGTTTTACTTCATCTGTGGCTAGATATTAGCTTCAAGAAAATTTAGGGGGCACAGATACACTTAAAGACTTCTGTTTGCCTCTCATTTCTAAAGGTGAGGGGCTCACTGGATCAGGTCGTGATGGCAGGGTAGAGGGAAAAGATGGTGGTTAGTAGGGCAATCTGCATTTTCACCCATGACATGGCATAAATATGTGAATTTCCCATAGGACACGTGATGCTATAGGAGGTCATTGGAGTCAAGTCACCTTGTTGAGATTCCAATCCAGAGACAGCCTATTGGGGCAGAGGAGGCTGTAGCAATAAGAAACCATGAGGTGGGTCTCTTTTGAAAGAGAGATCTTAAAGAGATCAGGGACATAATTCATTGCCCTTGTCAGGGAACCGCATAATGGGGCAGTCTCCAAAAGGGAGCCTCTGACAATCCTCAAAATGATCTCAAGAGACACCATGCCTGCCACATATAAGGCACAAGCTGCTAGTATCTATGGCAACAGATATGAACACTTTTGCCTTTTTTCCCATCCCCATTCTTCCTCCCTGACCTGATAAAACTGAAAAAGAAGGAAAGACCAAAATGACTAAAACAACAACAACAATAGTAACAACAACGGTTTTGCGGGAAGAGAGGCCAAAGAGCAAGGGAAGAACATATGCTCCCACCTTTCCACTGTATGACCCAAGCTACACATCAGATCTGAACTTACAAGGTAGGACCCATGCTTTGAATTGATAGTGAAGCTGAAGTTTAAAATTGGGCTGGACTTGGTTTTTTAATACCTGGAAATGGGTCTTCAGTATCAAAGTTAAACATTTTTAAAACCTTAAGTGGCCAGAAAGGTAAACGGCTCTCACAAGGTGTCATCCAGGAGAAGGGAAGAGAGACTGGACCTAGTATGATTTTCCTTGTGATTTATTGGAAATAATTTCAGCTTGGGAACAAAGAGACATTTGTCCCTCTTTCTACTCTCCTAACATTGTCTCCCTCTCATTTTATCCCTCTCTTCTACCTATCTCCAACATCACTTATCTCTCAAAGATTTTCTTTCCATTCAGCATCCAGAAAAGAGGAAATCATGTCTGGAATTCCTGAAAACTGAAAGGCATTGGAGATTGAGGCAGAGATCTGAAGTTTCTTTGCTTCTGAAAAGCTTGGCTTAGAAATCAGAGAGGAGGAAAAACACATGCAGAAGGGAGAATCCACAACAAAACTGAAATGAGCTAAATAACTGGCAGGCATCTATATTGAAGATACAGACTGGCCTGTGGTTATCAAGCCCTGGGCTGGTTTGCACTTGACTAGAAGGGAGAATTGTATGTTTCTGAGTGACAATCTCTGATTTCTGCTTTCCATTCTACCTTTCCTACCCACCAGTAGTCCTGCATAAACTGTTCTGAGTTCTTAAGGTGGCTGCCTAGCTCGTCAAGACCAATGCTGGATTCTGAAGAGATTCACCTCTGAATGATGGTAAAAATCTCAGAAAGTTACTGGTTTCTAGACCCAGTGGCTTTCCTTATCCTTAGCAGAGTTGCAGGTGGAGACTCAGTAGCTCTTAGGTATTTTTCAGATTAAACTCTTCCTCCAAGCTTCCTTCCAAGATCTTAATAGAATCACGGTGCTGGGCTCACCTGGGACATTCAGGTCCTTCCCATCCCTTTGGGATAATATCCCTCAAGTGTTTTCCTCAAGACACAGTAATTTTTACATCCAAGTCTTGATGAGGTAAATGGGGAACAGACAGACAGCTCTGCTTTTTTTCCCTTGTTTTGTCTTCACATGCTCTTCCCGCTTGTGATTTCCTATCTGTAACTTAGTTGATTATTGCTCTTCACAGGGAGGGAGTTGTTTGCGCTGTCTTCTTCTCCCAGCGAAATGGTCAGCATTTTCAGAGTTCTTTTCTGTGTCTTCTCTAATGCTTAATGGTGGGAAACACTTAGGAAATACCTAGAGAATGGAGTTGAATTTTTTGACTAGAGATTATGAATCCAAAGGGATGTGATCTCTAGTGGATGGAAATAGGATGTGATCTTGGCATCAGTTGAATAAATGTTAGCATTGGAAATTGGAGACCCAGTGATTCAGCATTCAAGGCTCTTAATTGCAAACTAAAGACAAATGCTGGGTTTCTAATTTTGCAAATAAACATATTGAAATGATATGAGTGCTTCACAATACAATGGGAAGGATGGAAAAAGACATCCGGAAATGGACAGAATCAAGAGAGACTGCCCAGCCAGGGACTCAGGCAAAATTAATATATCCCTTCTTCCAATGCTTAGAGGTGACTCACAATATAGTACAATTATTTCTCACCCAAACTAAGAAAGTTGATCCCTTCTTCAATAGGAAAAAACTCAACCTATGGATTAAGTGTATCAATGAATAATATTTAAAATAATGGTGTAATAGAGATGGAAAAAGGCAAGTTATTCTATTTATGCACTAACATACAAAAATCAGTAGCACTTATATATGCTAGTAGTGAATTATCTGTAAAAGAAATAAGGCAAACAATTACATTTACAATAGCTACAAATGAAAAATAACTAGGAATAAACTTAACCAAGGAGGTGAAAGATTTCTACCCTGAAAACTATATAACTTTGATGAAAGAAACTGAGGAAGACACAAATAAATGGGATGATATCTTGTGTTCAAGGATTAGAAGAATGGATATTGTTAAAATAACCATACTATCCAAAGAGATCTACAGGTTTATTACGATCCTTATAAAAATTTCAATGACATTCTTCACAGAAGTAGAAAAAAATCCTAAAATTCATATGGAACCATAAAAAACCCCAAATTGACAAAGCAGTCCTGAACAAAACGAATAAAGCTGAAGGCACCACACTACCTGACTTCAAAATATGCTATAAAGCTGTAGCAACCAAAACAGCGTGGGATAAAACAGATACAGAGATCAGTGAAATAAAATATAAAGTGTGGAAATAAATTCAAGCACCTAAAGTCAATGGATTTTCAATAAAGATGCCAAGAACAACACATTGGGGCAAAGACAATAAATGGTGTTGGTAAAACTGGATATTCACATGGAGAAGAATGACATTAGACTCCTGTCTCTCACCATACACAAACATAAACTTAAAATAGAAGGAAGACATAAGTGTAAAACCATCATCTATGAAACTAACAGAAGAAAACATAGAGAAACACTTTGTAACATTGGGCTGGGCAAAAATTTTTAAAATAAGACCTCAAAATCTCAGGCATTAAAAACAAAAATAGAGAAATGGAGTTAAACTAAAAAAAATTTGCACAGCAAAGAAACTATTAACAAACTGAAGAGATAACCTACAAAATTTCAAAAAGTATTTGCAAACTATGCATCTGACAAGGGGTTATAATATAGACTATATAAGGAACTTAACAGCAAAAAACTAATTAAAAATGGGCAGATCTTAATACACGTTTCTCAAAAGAAAACATGGCCAAACGGATGTATAAAAAATGCTTAACATCATTAATCATCAGATAATTCCAAATCAAAATTATCTTGGGATATCTCCTTACTCTTATTAGAATGGCTATGTGTCAGAAGACAGAAGTAAACAAATGTTAGCGAGGATGTGGAGGAAAGGGTACACATACGCTTACACACTGTTGGTGGAATTGTAAAGTAGTACAGCCACTATGAAAAACAGAATGGGGTTTCCTCAAGAAATTAAAAATAGAACTACCATATGATCCAGCAATCCCACTACTAGGTATATATCCAAAGGAAATGAAATCTGTATGTTTAAAAAGGTCTGCATTCCCATGTTTATTGCCACACTATATACAATAGGCAAGATATAGAATCAACCTAAGTATTTAATAATGCATAAATGGGTAAAGAAAATGTGGTATATATACACAGTGGAATACCATTCAGCCATAAGAAAGAATGAAATTCCGTCATTTGTGACAACATGGATGAACCTGGAGAACATCATGTTAAGTGAAATAGGCCAGACATAGAAAGATATATAGCACATGATCTCACTTATATGTGAAATTCAAAAAAAATTGGCATTATAAAAGCAGAGAGTAGAACAGTTGTTACCAGAGACTGGAGAGGAAATGGGGGAGGGAAGGATAGGGAGAAGTTGGTCAATGGTTACAAAGTTACAATGAGATAGGAGGAATACATTCTAGTGTTCTATTGCACAGTAGGGTGACTCTAGTTAATAGTAAAATATTGTATATTACAAAATGGCTAGAAGAAATGCTTTTGAATGTTCTCATAACAAAGAAATGATAATTGCATGAAGTGATAGATATACTAACTACACTGATTGGATCATTATACAACATAGCTATGTATCAAAACATCATTGTACCCCATAAATATGGACAAATGCAATGTGCCAATTAAAAAATAAATAAAAAAATTTAAAAATAATGTGGTAATAGAGAAGAAAGAGAAGGCAAGTTATTATTTTTACCTATTAATTATCTATCTATATCTGTCACCTATTTATTTATATATCAATCTAGTCACAGCTAGAAAGGAAATATGGGTGGAATTGGAATCCTCATTTCTGCAACTTGTTCATGAGGAATATTTATGATTTCCTTAGTCTATTACTGTTGTAGTCTATTACTGTAGGTTCTTCTAGAAAGCAGAGCCTGAGCTGAGAATTTAAGTTTTGATATTCTGTTTGGAAGGTAAAACCCCAGGAAGATTTAGAGGGGGAGTTGAGGGACTTGAATCCAGAATAAGTGCAAAGGAATGCAATGAAATGCATTTCTGTGTCATTGTTCACAACGAAAGAGTCAGGGAACATTACTTATTAGATATGTTCACTCAGCATGTGGGATTCATATGGAAGGAGAAAGTATACCTGGGAGCAGTCCATGGAGGGGAGAAAGGAAGGTATATTGATTTTCTCTGTTTCTTCTCATCTAATTTCCCATCGACTTTCCTGAACTCCCAGATTGCATTATCTGGCCCATTGATGGCCACATAGGAAGGCAGAAACCATGTTCCTCAATATGGTTATTACTGTTGGTCCAGGAGAGGAGGAAAATTTTGTGTAGAAAGGGTTGGCACATAGGCTCAATGTCAGCGAGCTTGGAAAGAAGTAGCAGAGTTTGGGAGGTGCTTGGTGTCACTAGAAGAAGAGACAGTATAGGGTTTGTATTGAGTACAGTCCATTTCTTGTGTCACTCAGATCTACTCCTGCTCTCCCATTATTCCTAGATTCTGTGGTACAAGATGGTGACTGCTTTCCATGGTGATATGGTTTGGCTTTGTCACCACCCAACTCTCATCTTGAATTGTAACTTCCATAATTCTCACGGGTCGTGGGAAACTTCTCCCCATCCTTCCCTCCCCCATTTCCTCTCCAGTCTCTGGTAACCACTCTTCTACTCTCTGCTTCTATAATGCCAACTTTTTTTTAAAATTCCACATATAAGTGAGATCATGGGCTATATATCTTTCTGTGTCAGGCTTTTTTTACTTAACATAATGTTCCCCAGGTTCATCCATGGTGTCACAAAAGACAGAATTTTATTCTTTCTTATGGCTGAATGGTATTCTACTGTGTATATATACCACATCTTTATCTGTTTATGCATTATTAAATACTTAAGTTGACTCCATATCTTGCCTATTGTATATAGTGCGGCAATAAACATGGGAATGCAGAAATTTCTTTAATGTACAGATTTCATTTCCTTTGGATATATACCTAGTAGTGGGATTGCTGGATCATATGGTAGTTCTATTTTTAATTTCTTGAGGAAACCCCATTCTGTTTTTCATAGTGGCTGTACTATTTTACAATTCCACCAACAGTGTGTAAGCGTATGTATTCCCTTTCCTCCACATCCTTGCTAACACTTGTTTTCTCTTGTCTTCTGAGAAATAGCCATCCTAATAAGCGTGAGGAGATATCCCAAGATAATTTTGATTTGGAATCCTCCAATGATTAATGATGTTGAGCATTTTTTATATATCTGTTAGCCATGTCATCTTTTGAGAAATGTGTATTAAGATCTGCCCATTTTCAATTGGATATTTTTTTGCTGTTAAGTTCCTTATATAGTCTGTATTTTAACCCCTTGAGAGATGCATAGTTTGCAAATATTTTTTGAAATTTTGTAGATTATCTCTTCAATCTGTTAATAGTTTTCCTTGCTGTGCAAAATCTTTTTACTTTGATTTAACCTCATTTGTCTATTTCTGCTTGTAATGCCTGAGCTTTTGAGGTCTAATTTTAAAAATTTTTGCCCAGCCTAATGTTATGAAGTG
The DNA here is from genome assembly GCF_000001405.40 of Homo sapiens. Classification (NCBI taxonomy): domain Eukaryota; kingdom Metazoa; phylum Chordata; class Mammalia; order Primates; family Hominidae; genus Homo; species Homo sapiens. The sequence continues at coordinate 58,211,019 of NC_000011.10, forward strand.
TTTCTCTTTCTTCTGTTAGTTTCATAGATTATGGTTTTACATTTATGTCTTCCATCTATTTTAGGTTTATGTTTGTGTATGGTGAGAGATAGGAGTCTAGTGTCATTTTTCTGCATGTGAATATCTTGTTTTACCAACACAAGTTATTGTCTTCACCCCAGTGTGTTGTTCTTGGTGTCTTTATTGAAAATCCATTGGCTTTAGGTGGTTGAATTTATTTCTATGCTTTCTATTTTGTTTCACTGCTCTATGTGTCTGTTTTTATGCCAGCCCCATGCTGTTTTGGTTACTATAGCTTTATAGTATATTTTGACGTCAGGTAGTGTGATGCCTTCAGCTTTTTTTCTTTTTGTTCAGGACTGCTTTCTCAATTGGGGGTCTTTTATGGTTCCGTATGAATTTTAGGATTTTTTTCTATTTCTGTGAAGAATGTCATTGGAATTTTTATAAGGATAGTAATAAAAATCTGTAGATCTCTTTGGGTAGTATTGTTATTTTAACAATATCAATTCTTCTAATCCTTGAACACAAGATATCATTCCATATATTTGTGTCTTCTTCAGTTTATTTCATCAAAGTTGTACAGTCTTTTGGAGGAGAAATCTTTCCCTTCCTTGGTTAAGTTTATTCCTAGTTACTTTTTATTTGTAGCTATTGTATATGTAATTGTTTGCCTTATTTCTTTTACAGATAATTCACTACTAGCATATATAAATGTTACTTATTTTTGTATGTTAGTGCATAAATAAATAGAATAACTTGCCTTCTTCCTTCTCTATTACCCCATTATTTTAAATATTATTCATTGATACACTTAATCCATAGGTTGAGTTTTTTCCTATTGAAGAGGGAATCAACATTCTTAGCTTGAGTGAGAAATCAGTGTACTATATTGTGAGGCACCTCTAAGCATTGGAAGAAGGGATATATTAATTTTGCCTGAGTCCCTGACAGGGCAGTCTGTCTTGCTTCTGTCCATTTCTGGATGTCTTTTTCCATCCTTCCCATTGTATTGTGAAGCACTCAATATCATTTCAATATGTTTATTTGCAAAATTAGAAACCCAGCATTTGTCTTTAGTTTGCAATTAAGAGCTCTGAATGCTGAGTCATTGGGCCTCCAACTTTTTTTCCAACACTAACATTCATTTAACCGATGCCAAGGCCATACCCTATCTCCTTCCACTAGATATGACATCCCTTTGGATTCATAATCTCTAGTCAAAAAATTCAACTCCATTCTCTAGGTATTTCCTAAGTGTTTCCCACCATTAAGCATTAGAGAAGACACAGAAAAGAACTCTGAAAATGCTGACCATTTCGCTGGGAGAAGAAGACAGCGCAAACAACTCCCTCCCTGTGAAGAGCAATAATCAACTAAGTTACAGATAGGAAATCACAAGCGGGAAGAGCATGTGAAGACAAAACAAGGGAAAAAAAGCAGAGCTGTCTGTCTATTCCCCATTTACCTCATCAAGACTTGGATGTAAAAATTACTGTGTCTTGAGGAAAACACTTGAGGGGTATTATCCCAAAGGGATGAGAAGGACCTGAATGTCCCAGGTGAGCCCAGCACCGTGATTTTATTAAGATCTTGGAAGGAAGCTTGGAGGAAGAGTTTAATCTGAAAAATACCTAAGAGCTACTGAGTCTCCACCTGCAACTCTGCTAAGGATAAGGAAAGCCACTGGGTCTAGAAACCAGTAACTTTCTGAGATTTTTACCATCATTCAGAGGTGAATCTCTTCAGAATCCAGCATTGGTCTTGACCAGCTAGACAGTCACCTTAAGAATTCAGAACAATTTGTGCAGGACTACTGGTAAGTGGAAAGGTAGAACGGAAAGCAGAGATCAGAGATTGTCACTCAGAAACATACAGTTCCCTCTCTAGTCAAGCCCAAACCAGCCCAGGCCTTGGTAACCACAGGCCGGTCTGTATCTTCAATATAGATGCCTGCCAGTTATTTAGCTCATTTCAGTTTTGTTGTGGATTCTCCCTTCTGCATGTGTTTTCTCTTGTCTCTGATTTGTAAGCCAAGCATTTCAGGAGGAAAGAGACTTCAGATCTCTGCTTCAATCTCTAATGCCTTTCAGTTTTCAGGAATTTCAGAGACGAAGATTGTCTCTTTTCTGGCCTCTGAATGGAAAGAAAATCTTTGAGAGATAAGTGATGTTGGAGATAGGTAGAAGAGAGGGATAAAGTGAGAGGGAGACAAATGTCTCTTTGTTCCCAAGCTGATATTATTTCCAATAAATCACAAGGAAAATCATACTAGGTCCAGTCTCTCTTCCCTTCTCCTGGATGACACCTTGTGAGAGCCGTTTACCTTTCTGGCCACTTAAGGTTTTAAAAATGTTTAACTGATACTGAAGACCCATTTCCAGGTATTAAAAAACCAAGTCCAGCCCAATTTTAAACTTCAGCTTCACTATCAATTCAAAGCATGGGTCCTCCCTTGTGAGCTCAGATCTGATGTGTAGCTTGGGTCATACAGTGGAAAGGTGGGAGCATATGTTCTTCCCTTGCTCTTTGGCCTCTCTTCCCACAAACCCGTTGTTGTTACTATTGTTGTTGTTGTTTTAGTCATTTTGGTCTTTCCTTCTTTTTCAGTTTTATCAGGTCAAGGAGGAAGAACAGGAGTGGGAAAAAAGGCAAAAGTGTTCATATCTGTTGCCATAGATACTAGCAGCTTGTGCCTTATATGTGGCAGGCCTGGTGTCTCTTGAGACCATTTTGGGGTTCGTCAGGGGCTCCCGTTTGGGACTGCCTCATTATGCGGTTCCCTGACAAGGGCAATGAATTATGTCCCTGATCTCTTTAAGATCTCTCTTTCATAAGAGACCCACCTCATGGTTTCTTATTGCTACAGCCTCCTCTGCCCTGATAGGCTGTTTCTGGATTGGAATCTCAACAAGGTGACTTGACTCCAATGACCTCCTATAGCATCACGTGTCCTATGGGAAATTCACATATTTATGCCATGTCATGGGTGAAAATGCAGATTGCCCTACTAACCACCATCTTTTCCCTCTATCCCCACCATCTTTTCTCTTTACCCCTGCCATCGTAGCCTGATCCAGTGAGCCCCTTTAAAAGCAAGAGGCAAACAGAAGTCTTTAAGTGTATGTGTGCCCCCTAAATTTTCTTGAGGCTAATATGTAGCCACAGATGAAGTAAAACCCTGGTTGCTCCTTCTTGTACTCATTCTCCAAAAGCACTTGTTTTGGAGTTCTCCCCCGGCGTTAGTGGGATGAAGCACCAACACAATGGTGTACACTGCCATAGTGATTCCTAACCCTCAGTTGTGTTTACTTCCCCAAACTCTTCACTTTCACGAGACTTGAAATTTCTGTTTTCTTAGATTTAAAGGATAAAGGTGGTTTGGCAACCAGTTTGGTCATTTTTAAGTTAATTCTGCAGGTGTATATAACATGTTTAGAATATAGGGTATGCCTCATCTATGACCCTCAGTTTGCGGGATTTAAACTACATTTAGAACCAACTGGAAAAATCACATTCAGAATCCTGTTAGAGTTTAAAACAGTTTTTTTGAGAAGTTTCGGCCATGTCCTGTCTTTTTCTAAGGCATTTTCCAAATCTCTGCACTGCTGAAATACTTCCTTATTAAGTAGCACTTCCACTTAATAAGCAGAAGAAACTTTATTCAAGTGACTTACTGCAATGGCTGCAGCCAAATGATACCATGTTAGGTTTTCTTGTAGGAATATGAAGACTTTTAGTTCCTTTCTTCAGATCGGCAGAAATATGCATCAAGGAAACCAAACCACCATCACTGAATTCATTCTCCTGGGATTTTTCAAGCAGGATGAGCATCAAAACCTCCTCTTTGTGCTTTTCTTGGGTATGTACCTGGTCACTGTGATTGGGAACGGGCTCATCATTGTGGCTATCAGCTTGGATACGTACCTTCATACCCCCATGTATCTCTTCCTTGCCAATCTATCCTTTGCTGATATTTCCTCCATTTCCAACTCAGTCCCCAAAATGCTGGTGAATATTCAAACCAAGAGTCAATCCATCTCTTATGAGAGCTGCATCACACAGATGTACTTTTCTATTGTGTTTGTCGTCATTGACAATTTGCTCTTGGGGACCATGGCCTATGACCACTTTGTGGCGATCTGCCACCCTCTGAATTATACAATTCTCATGCGGCCCAGGTTCGGCATTTTGCTCACAGTCATCTCATGGTTCCTCAGTAATATTATTGCTCTGACACACACCCTTCTGCTCATTCAATTGCTCTTCTGTAACCACAACACTCTCCCACACTTCTTCTGTGACTTGGCCCCTCTGCTCAAACTGTCCTGTTCAGATACATTGATCAATGAGCTTGTGTTGTTTATTGTGGGTTTATCAGTTATCATCTTCCCCTTTACACTCAGCTTCTTTTCCTATGTCTGCATCATCAGAGCTGTCCTGAGAGTATCTTCCACACAGGGAAAGTGGAAAGCCTTCTCCACTTGTGGCTCTCACCTGACAGTTGTATTACTGTTCTACGGAACCATTGTAGGCGTGTACTTTTTCCCCTCCTCCACTCACCCTGAGGACACTGATAAGATTGGTGCTGTCCTATTCACTGTGGTGACACCCATGATAAACCCCTTCATCTACAGCTTGAGGAATAAGGATATGAAAGGTGCCCTGAGAAAGCTCATCAATAGAAAAATTTCTTCCCTTTGATGCCCTGGACCTCTACATTCTTTTAGTCCACATAATCAGATAAATGATTCAGCCCAGAGCGTATGGCACAGTTGTGATGGTTCAACTTTTGATGAACTTGCAGGTATCTGTCTCCTATTCCAACCTCTGAAGGGGTTGGAGCTTTTCCACTTAGCTCTTGTCTTGGAAACAAAACCTGTAACTGCCATGGTAAGTCACAAGAATAACACGCATCCTTAGAGAGTAGATTGGTGGTTACCAGGGCCCAGGGGTGGGAAGATGGAATGGAGGTGATGAGTTGTTGATTAATGGGTACAACAATACAGTTAGATAGAAGAAATAAGACCTATTGTTTGATAAATCATTAGGGGGACTATAGTAAACCATAATCTATTGTATATTTCAAAATAGCTAAAGGAGAATAATTCTACTGTTCCCAGCATAAAGAAAAGATAAATGTTTGAGGTGATGGATATCCCTATGCCCTAATTTGCTTATTATACATTATATGAGTTTATCAAAATATCACATTACCCAAAAATATGGGGGACAATGTGTCAATAAAAATACATGTATCAATAAATAAAAAATTTATGCATAAAAAATAAAAATTACTTTAAAAAACCCACATCTCACATCTTAATTACAATCTATATTACTATAGACTTTGGTATGAATTATTTTTCAAGTTGTAATGTTTATAATTGTAATGTCTCTTCATTTATTTGTTCAAGTCTTCTTATATGTTTTTAATGACATTTTATAGTTTTCTTTCTATTTTAAACATATAGATTATTAAGTTGTTCTTGAGTGTCTCATGATGTTTTTTGCTAAAGTAAATTTGTTTACAGATATGTAGGAAAAAGGGTAGAATTTATTTGTTATTATCATATTTCTGTACTAAACTCTTTTGTTAGTATAATAGTTCAAACTTGATTTTCTTTTGCCAGGAGAAAAATAGTAACATCAGCAAAATGATAATTTCAACCTTCATTTTTTAATATTTTGATTCCTTGTTTGTTTTTTCTGGTTTTATTTCATTGACTAGTATCTCCAGCAAAATTCTGTTTTAATGAGGGCTAATAAGCATACCAGTCAGACTTTAAGCTTTATTTTTTAAAAATATTTAATGTTATTTAAAGTATATATTGAATTTCACTAAATGCCTTTATAGTATCTATTGAGATTATTAGATTTTTAAAAAAGTGATTAATATGTAGTTACTCACATTAATTGACTTTCTAATATTACAGCAGCCTATGCTTTTAACATCTAATTTGGCTATAATGTATTATTCATTTGCTGCACTGTCAAATTTAGCTAGGTAATATTTATGTAATATTTTTACATCTATGGTGAGTCAGATTGGCTAATAGTTGTCCTTTTGGTAATAATATTCTTGCTAAGTTGTTACTATGGATATGATATAATTAATCATAATGAACTTGTTGGTTTACTGAAACTTTTGTAAACATGAAATAGTCTTTTTGATCCTATTTAATATTGCTATTATGAATTCCACTATGTCTGATACTAGTATTGTCAGATTTACTTTTTTGAAAAAGTTAGTACTTGCTTGGCTCTATCTCTGTCGATCCATTTATTTTAAGTACCTTAAGTGTGTCTCATGTTATGAACATGTATCTGGATTTTAACACATAATCTGAGCATTTCAGTCTTTTAACAAATAAATCTAAGCAATTCACATATATAGGGTTACTGATCCATTGGATTTATGTTTTCCATTTACTACATTTTATTTATTATTATTATTAATTAATTAAATTATTTTTTGAGACAAAGTCTTGCTCTGTGGCCCAGGCTGGAGCAGAGTGGCATGATCTTGGCTAACTGCAACGTCCACTTCCCTGGTTCAAGCAATTCCCCTGCCTCAGCATCCTGAGTAGTTGGGATTATAGGCACATGCCACCATGCCCTGCTAAATTTTTTTGTATTTTTAGTAGAAACGGGGTTTCACCATGTTGGCCAGACTGGTCTTGAACTCCTGACCTCAGCCAATCCGTTCGTTTCAGCCTCCCAAAATGCTGGGATTACAGTCGTGAGCCACCGTGCTCAGCCCATTTACTACATTTTAAAAACTATTTCATATTTCTTCTCTTGGCTATCACTAGATTGATGGAGTTTAATTTTCTTTTACCTCTTCTATCAGCTTGAAATATATTGATGTGATACATATTCTATTAGTGTTAAAGAAACATATTTTAAAGAACCATACATAAACCAATAACAATTAAATTCATGAATTATATTTCATTGTTTCAAACAGAATGAAATTTCAGAATACCATCTTTCTTCTCTTATTCTCTCTCTTCTATGTATGATTCAAATCATCTGGAATTTTAGTTCCAAATTATAATATTTTTGAATGTTATGGTTTGCATTTTAGAAATATTACCTTATCAATTTTATTAAGCTACACAAACACATTGTAGTATTTATTCAGAAGAAATTCAAGGTTTTTTTTGTTTACTATCCTTTCTTATGTTTTACATCTACTCTGACCAGACAAAAGAGAAAGACTTTGAAAAATCTCCTGAGCCTCGGACTGCATTTGATCTCTTCAGTGTTTATTAATGGAACATTTCTTAGGGTTCACTCTGTACCCTGTTCTGGCCTACATATTATAGGGAGTCATGATGACTAACATCCTGGTTCTATCCTTTAGAAGTTCACAGTTGATGTGCAGATATAATATGTGAACAGAAAGCAAGAGCTTGTAGGTACCGATATCAGGTGGAGACCAGTATAATGGGTGCCATCAGATATCAAGCATGGTAGGAAAAGTGCTACAGAAATTCAGAGAAGAGAGATATCTGTGGACTTGAGTAATAGTAAATATTTCATTGAGAAAGTGAACTAGAGCTATGCATTTGAAATGGGCAGGGTTTATACAGATGGGGAGACACAGAGAGGGATTTTGAAGTGGATGGATGTTATGGGTGGCGGGACCATGTATGATGTGTTCTGGGTTCAGTAAAGAGTCTAACATTGCTGAGGCTGAAGTTTATATAAATGAGTAAGAAACAAAGTTTTAAGGTAACTTGGGGCATGATCATGGCAAGTTTTTAATATCAGGATAAGGTGTTTGAATTTTCATTTGCCAATTCCTAACCAGATGCTTTCTAGTCACTCACAAAGTACACAATGTAGAGTGATTCCATGAACAGAGTCATAGAATCTAGAGCTGGAGGGCACCACAAAGTTCAACTAGAGTACTACTTATGGTAAAAATGAGTAAATTGATCCCCAGAGTGATGGGTGACTTGTTAATACCAGGTGATGAGCTTTGGCAGAACCAAAATGAAAACTCACTGGAAGATTTCCTAGTGCAGTGTTCCCTGGAGGCAGGTAGATGTAGCAGAAAGAGCAGAGACTTTGACGTGAGACAGAACTGGGTTTGAATTCCAGCTTTGCTATGTTCTGAGTATATGACCTTGGTCATGTGGCTTAACTCCTCATAGCCCCCTTTACCATATCAGTAAACTGGAGATGATGTTTGCACAACACCTAACTTGGTCTCTGATGAGGTAGGAGACCAGAAGGACATCTTTTCTGGTCACATCCTTGCTGATCAAAACAGGATCTGGTCCAGACAGGATAAAAGTGAAGAAACTGGCTGAACCCAGCAAATGGTGGCTACAGCAATCCCTAGCTGTCTTCATTGCTCATTAGCGTAAGACACTTTTACAGTGCCATGACTAGTTACAAATGTCATGGCAACAACCTTGGAAGTTAACACTCATTTCCATAGCAATGAGCCAGATGCAATGAGCCGTCTCTTTCCTAGAAAGTTCAAAATAACCTGCCTCTCAATTTGTATTAACCAGCCCCTTAATTAGCATTAAATTGAAAGTGGGTATAAGTGACTATAAATACAGTTACCAACAACTCATACTTTGTTGATCTGCGTGCATTACCTATGAGTTATCCCTGCTCAGCAAGGAGCAGTGCCATTCAATAAAGATTGCTGTCTAACCCATCAGCTTGCCCTTGAATCCTTTCCTTGGCAAAGCCAAGGACCCTCCCAGGCTAGGCCTGTCCTGCATCACTGGCACATAGTCAGTAGCTCATTAAATATTAACTTTTCTTTACTCCAGAGAGGTCAGCATACTAGGGAGGATAATTTAAGAGCTTGACAATCCTAGCCTCCTCTCTTAGCTGATTTGAGATAAACACTGACAACAAAATATCTCCAGAAAGGCCTGGTTAAGACAAAGGTGTGTTAGGCTCTGAGACAGTGAGGGATGGGGGTGGGGAGGAACTGAAATATGCGGGTCAGTCAGAAAATCATCTAATGATAAGTGCCCATTTTAGGTGTTAAGCTCAAAAGAGAGAGAGAGAGAACGAGAGAGAGGGAGAGAAGGAGATATTAAAACCAAGCTTACAATGGATAAAGAAATTTGGTTAACAAATAGATATTAAAACCAAGCTCACAATGGATAAAGAAATTTGGTTAACAAATTTTGCTGGATTCATATAATGGACTATTACTTAGAAATACAAAAGAATGAACTGCAGCAACACAAAGCAACCTGTATAAATCTCAGAAACGTTATGTTAAGTGAAAGAAGGCAAACTCAGAAGAATGCATACTGTATTACTTCATTTCTAGAAATTCTTAAATGGACAAATCTCATCTTTGTGATGGAAGTCAGAATAGTGGTTGATCAAGGCAGGAAGGAGAATTGATTGGAAAGGGAAATGGGAGTTTTCCAGAATGATGAAAATATTTCATTATTGAATACATCAAACAGAACCAATGAAGATCTGTGCATTTTAGTGTATGTTATTTACACTTCAATTAAAATACTAATAAGAACAAAAGAAGCCTACCATTTTCTTCATTTTGTTTCAGGTAGAGTTTGACTCTACTATAACATCAGAGTCAGCGTAAAATCGTTTTCTGCCTTACATATTTTTTTCAGATAAGTGGAGGTTGGGATGTTGTCTTTCTTGGGATTCTCCAGGGAGAATTAGGGAGGCAGAGTGGAGCCAAGGATGCTCTTACCTATGATAATGTCCGCAGTGAAGCTGTCATCCTCGCAGACAGACAGTCTAACAGGAAGTGAATGCACAGACATTGGACAGGACAGGAACATCCAGACATGTGGCAGTTTCTCAGGAGTAAGAGGACCCAGGAAAGAACACGCCAGTTGGAGGCACTTATGTATTATAACCATAAGGACTATCTGCTGGAGGCGTGGGGCCTGGTATGTGAGTGTGGAAGGTAGTTGGCAATTTAGATATTTTGGAGCCAAGATTACTAAGAGGACCTCATCAGTCATAGAAAGAAATATAAATCTCTCTTGTAGAATGCACAGAAGGACTTATCAAAATGTATCTCAAATCAGGCATTTGGCATTTCTTACATCACGGTCTTCTTGCATATATTATTCTTCTTTAGAGAAAAATAAGATTGACTTATAGCTATGTCCATTTTCCCAATTGTCTGTAAATTTTTGAAAGCAGATATATCATGTTTTTGTCAATGAACACCAAACATATAATCCAGTTTCTGAAATATGACATGGCCTCTTCTCCATTCAAATTTACTATCCCTCAACATTCTCTACCTTGTCCTAAACACTTGCCCCAATTTCCTGCTTGTTTTTATAGCCCTTGTGTATTTATTTATTTATTTATTTATCTTTTTTCCTCTCATGAACATTAGATCCATGGAATCAGAGACTTTGGCAAATAGTATATTTTGTTGAATTATTTGTTTAAAAATTAGTAAGTGAGGCCGGGCACGGTGGCTCACGCCTGTAATCCCAGCACTTTGGGAGGCCAAGGTGGGCGAATCATTAGGGCAGGAGAGCGAGAACATCCTGGCTAACACGGTGAAACCCCGTCTCTACTAAAAATACAAAAAAATAGCTGGGCGTGGTGGCAGGCACCTGTAGTCCCAGCTACCTGGGAGGCTGAGGCAGGAGAATGGCGTGAACCCGGGAGGCAGAGCTTTTAGTGAGGCGAGATCGCGCCACTGCACTCCAGTCTGGGTGACAGAGCGAGACTCCATCTCAAAAACAAACAACAAACAAACAAACAAACAAACAACAACAAAATTAGTAAGTGAATGTACAAAAGAAGTATTTATTGAAAGAATTGTTGTATTATGGCATAAATGGGTCTTCATAAAATAGTTTCTTACAGATCATCAAATGTGTGTTCTGTGGTCTCTGGGGATGGTTATCCCCTATCCCAATTGTGCCCCATCTCTTTTGAATAACGTATTTTCCCCAATACTATGAGTGTCATACTTTTCCCTTCTAATGAAAGCTAAATTGAAACCAAAAAGAGGCAATTAGGACAGTTCTCAAGTTGGAACTAGTGGGCAGAGATAGGCCCAAGCCATAATCACCATCACATTTCAAACTTCTAGTGATTTTCATCAGATCCTCTAATTTTACAATGTGGTTTTTCAAAGTCATTGCTGAATGAGAATGAGAAAGAGAGAGAGAGAGAGAGAGAGAGAGAGAGAAAGAGACAGAGAGAGAAGAGGATGGAAGTTGGAGGACATCACTATAAAATTATCTGTTGAGATTCTTGATGGTACAGGTTATTTTTGACTCATCCAATAGTCACAAAACAAAATGCCCAGAATGTGCTGTTGTATAATAACTTTTCTCAATCAACCATTTCCTTATTTAGTCACCTCTCCATCTACACTCATTAGATCTAATTAGACAACACAGATATGCAGAAACATACATTCATGCTATGGTTTCCTAGATCGTCAAAATGTGGGTATGAGAAATCAGAATTCTTGGGAAATTTCAAAACTATAAATTATCCTTAAAATATTTTCAATATTATTTATACTCTTTACTCATTATTATAGATATCTAGAATTTATTTAATAATTATAAATATCAGGGTTATATTATATACAGCATATAGTAGGTGATAGCAAATAACCAAGCCCTGGGAAACTCACTGTGAACATTATTAGGTGGTATTTAAATAACCAAACATTCATATCTCCCAGGCAGGTAAACTGCACTACATAGATTCCCAGTTCCAGATGCAATTTAAATATTTATTTGCTTCCAAAACGTATTATTTCTTGCAACACCACTCATATTTGCATAAAATATCCTAGGCGTATAAGCTTAGTAATAATATTCATTTTACTTGTAAGAATGACTCACTGTTAACAGCAGACAGAGCCATGAACACACACATGAAAATAGCCACAAGCAAGACTGACTGATTAGGCAGTAACTGCTTCTCCGCTAATGCTCTTGTACTGATTTTGGAAACGAAGACTTAGCCTTTGACTCTGCATGTGTCATCACTTTCTGCTCTTGCTTTACCTTTGGCATGAGTGGATTCCTCCGAATCAGTAACGTCTCTATGTTAACTGTTACGATTTAGTTCTTGCAGGAGAATTTTAATTTTTTTCTGATTTTTCTTGATTTCTCAACTACTTTTTCTCAGAGTTTGGATTTTAAAAATATATATATTTTTTGAGAAATGCTGAGAAGGAATCTCACATCAGCATTTTACTTCCACCACTGTGTCTGACCCTTCATTCACCTATTAAACAATCAGAAGAGAGATGAAGAAATCCAGTGTCACAACATACCTGTGATGCTTTTGTAGTGTATTCTGGCTTCAAGGTGCTTATTGTTTAGTAGTGGGGGACATATTTTCAAATAATTATACTGCCTGATAAAATGTATTTTAATAAAATTCCAATGAGAGAGACATAGAAAGAGAATGTCAGTAGAGGGAGAGGTTACTTTCTTGGCAAATACTTCTCTGTAAGACAATTAACACTAACGACACATTCACATACCCAAATGGCTGGATGAAGGGAATGAGCAGGGTTTTGAAAGGAGCAGAATTTTTAAAGAAGTGGTGAACCTGCAGGGGAGGAAAGCTAAGCTACTCTTGCGAGTTCTGTCTTCTACTTATGCTACCTACAGGCTACCTTGATATGAGGGGATCATCATTTCCCAAAAGAAACATCACTGATTAACATTTCTGTCCCATCATCTGACTCGTGGTGTACTGTTATTTCATTCAATATTCTCATTCTAGAATGTAACAATTTCAATGAAAGACTCGTATAAAGGAATAATTTTTCAGTAAGGAAAAGGAGCTCTTCCATGTACATTGAAGCATTTCTTCACAATAGCTATAACATAAGATTAACCTAAGTGTTCACCAGTAGAAAAGTGGATGAGGAAAATTAAATCTTGTCATTTGTGACAACATGGATAAATCTGGAGGATATCACATTAACTGAAATAAGACAGTCACAGAAAGACAAATACTGCAGGATCTCATATATGTAATGTAAAAAGGTTGAACTAACAGAAACAGAGTAAAAAGATGGTTACCAGAGGCTTGGGGTGACAGGATTGGGGAGATGTTTGTCAAATGACATAAAATTGTAGTTAGACAAGAGAAATAAGTTCAAGAGATCTATTGTATATCATGGTGTCTACAGTTAATTATACCTTATTGTGTATTTGAAAATGGCTGAGAATAGATTTTAAGTATTCTCACCTCAAAAATAATGTGTCTGGAATAATTCATATGTTAAATAGCTTTATTTAGTCATTTGACAATGCCTACATATATTAAAACATTATGCTGTATGCCACAAATATATACAATTTTTACTTGTCAACTAAAAAATAAAAAAAGAAAAAATAAGAAAGGGGAACTCACTCTATTCATCTAGAATATGTATAGGAAGGTAACTGGGAGAACCCAATAATTCAATTTGAAAGGTTGAATCAACCCTCTTTTCAAGTGTAATATTTTACCCTCTTCTTTTTGAGTTCCAGGTTAATTTTATGAATGACTTGTGACATTAAATAAAGAATGAAAGAAGGTATGAAAATTCAGTTTCAAACTTCTCTTTTGTTGGCATTCCAGACAGTGCCTAGCACAATGTATACAAATAATTGATTCATTATGTTCTGATGTGACTTGGCCTGGATAGGTTGACATGCAATCTGCTAACTAGAGAGTTTATTTTCTTCTCCAGCATTTACAGTGGTCTTCACTACTTCCCTCCATCTGCAGTTTTGCTTTCCAGTTTCAGCTGCAGTCTGAAAATATTAAATAGAAAATTTCAGAAATAATCAATTTATAAGTTTAAAATTGTCTGACTTTCTGAGTAGTGTGACAAAATCTCTTGTCATCTTATTCTGTCCTGTCTGGGATGTGAATTATCTCTCTGTCCAGTGTATCCACACTGTATAACATTTTATGCTTCTGAAATCCAACCATGGACATCGTCATAGCTTGATGATCCAAGATCACCCCAAGCAGATGATCCTTTTTCTGGCCATCAGAAAGTCAATAGTAGCCAGATGTTGTGTTATAATGCCTGTGTTATTTACCTCATTTCATCTAATCACATAGGCATGATATCACCTCACATCATTATGAAGGGTGAGGAGTACTGTACATTAAGATATTTTGAGAGAGAGAGAGAGAAACCACGTTCACATAACTTTTATTATAGTATATTGTTATAATTGTTCTATTTTATTGTTGCTGTTGTTAATCTCTTACTGCGGCTAATTTATAAGCTAAATTTTATTGTAAGTATGTATGTGTAGGTAAAAAACATAGTAGGTATAGGATTTGATACTATCTATGGTTTCAGATGTTCTCCGGGGGTCTTGGAAGTACTCCCTTTGGATAAGAGAGGACTACTGTACTTAGAAGCTGTATTAGTCCATTCTTATGCAGCCATAAATACACTACCTGAGACGGGGTAATTTATAAACAAAAGAGGTTTAATTGAATCACAGTTCCACACTGCTGAGGAGACCCCAGGAAACTTACAATCATGGTGGAAGGTGAAGGGAAAGCAAAGCACATGTTACATTGCTGCAGGCAAGAGAGTGTGCACAGGGGAAACTGCCACTTTTAAAATCATCAGATCTGGTGAGAACTCCCTCACTATCATGAGAACAGCATGGGGGAAACCGCCTCCATGATCCAATCACCTCCCACCAGTTCCCTGTCCCCTGCACATAGGGATTACAATTCGAGATGAGATTTGGGTGGGGACACAGAGCCAAACCATATCAAAAGCAAGGCATTTCTAATGTATTGTTAAATCCAATGACTGTCCCCAGAATATGTAACACTTTATAGTTCTTCTCCTTATCATTGTGTGAAATCAGGTTAAAAATTAGGAGTTCCAAAAGCAATTTCAAAGGGAAAAAGAAGTACCCCAACCCCCACCAAAATAATCCTAATCTAGAAAAAATATAAAAAGTGGATCTGAACTATGATGATGGGAGGTTTATATGCCAAATAAACCTACATGAACCTCAGATTCCTTCTAGAAATTATATTTCTGATTATAAGAGGAACACAATCTTATTTTGGAAATCAGGGAAAATTAATAAAGAGGAAAACTAGAAAATTCATAATTCTACGTCACAGATAACAACTGTTAACTTTTTGGCGTATTTCTATTCCTCATTATGCATGTACGTATTTTTATAAAATTGGGCTTTTATGGTAAATACAGGCTTGAATCTTGATTTTATTACTTACAGGTATAATGATAAACATTGCCCTTTATTACTAAATATTAGTGATTTTAGTATGCTGTGTTTCTGTATCCAATATTGTTGGAAATTAGATTTTAATCACTTTTCATGTTATAAATGTAAGAAACACACTTATATTTTGTTTTGTTTGACATCCTGTTAATTTTCTGAGGTTATGTTTTTAGAATAAGAATTCCAAAATTAAAGAATAGAAACTTTTCATGGGTTTTGGTAAACGTAACCACATGGGATTCAAAAAGTTTATAACAATTTCTTTTTCTTTTCTTTTTTTTTTTGAGTTGGAGTCTTGCTCTGTTGCCAGGCTGTAGTGCTGTGGCATGATCTCGGCTCACTGCAACCTCCGACTCCCTGGTTCAAGCGATTCTCCTGCCTCAGCCTCGCAAGTAGCTGGGATTACAGGCACATGCCACCACGCCCAGATAACTTTTGTTTTTTTAGTAGAGACGGGGTTTCACTACGTTGGCCAGGATGGTCTCGAACTCCTGACCTTGTGATCCGCCTGCCTTGGCCTCCCAAACTGCTGGGATTACAGGCGCGAGCCACTGCGCCCCACCAGGTTATAACAATTTCTTAGGTCAGTTTAATATCCACTGGCAGATATCTTCACTCTCTTCCTGTAGCTGCTAATTAAAATCAGCTTATGATCTGGATCCAGACCCTCACCTGATAGATTGCACCCTCCCTCAGCTCTTATGGGAGAGGTAATTGCTTGTAAGAACTATCCCTGGAGTCCTCTGGGCCTGGCTGTTCCTCAGGGTGTAAATGAGAAGGTTGAGCTGTGTGGTGTCCACTGTGAATACCATAAAGGGAAGTGGATTTTACCTGAGGGTTTATTTGGGGTTGGAACACAACCCCATGTACATGAAGAGGTAACAGCCATTCTGCTGCAAAACTATGCTGAGGTAGGAGTAGTGCCATAGTAGTGCTACCTGCTCAGTGGATCTGTGAGCAGCAGCCCTCATGAAGGTGTAGGAGGTCGTGAGGAAGGTGGAACAGCAAAGACTAGTGTGAGAGCCACCAGCACAGAGGGCTCATGCAGGCAGGGCTGGCATAGACCAGAGGTAATTCTCCATACCCTAGCAAGGCTGGTACATAGTAGGTGATTAGTCAATGAAAGAAAATTCCTAGCCCCTTTCTGGCATGAAGAAAATGAAAGCAACCAGTTGGGATGTATGGTGCAAAGGAAATTAATGCATTAAGTAAGCTATTGTTTGTCATATACTGATACCCAAAACAATAATAAAATGTGTTTATTTGAGCAAAATATGTCTTTATGAATATTCCTTACTTAAGGCAACTTTCACAGGGTAAATTACATCATCTCCCCAGGAGGCAGCATGCCTATCAGCCTTTATTCACAGTATGTATGGGGTGTTCCTAATATGGCAATTGACATAGGTGAGCTGCAAATCCTTAAAGTAGAGCTAAGTAAACTAGCATTCCTACGCTGTAAGTTCTGTCCAAATTTTCATATCTTAGTCAAAGCACTTCAGAAAAATGAGCATGAATTGTGAACTTGGGGCAAATATGGCAAAAAAGAAACATCAAGTGCACAGTGTGAGAAAGTACTACAGTTCTGTGTCATTTAGAGTTCTTTGACACAGCAACAGACAGACACCCAGCCCAGTGCCCCTAAGCCTTCAGTTGGCGTCAGAGGCTGCTTTACGGATAATGGCACTCCTCAGAGCACCTTTGACATCCTTGTTCCTAAGGCTGTAAAGCAAAGGGTTGAGTAAGGGGGTGACAAAGGTGTAGACCAACGCGATTTGGCTGTCCTCATCCTCTGAGGTGCTGGACCGAGGACGCAGGTACACGAGGCTGCAGCAGCCATACTGCAGCAGGACCACGGTGAGGTGGAAGGAGCAGGTGGAGAAGGCCCGGCGGCGGCCCTCGGCAGAACGGATGCTCAGGATGGCACAGGTGATGAACACGTAGGAGACGCAGATGAGCAGGAAGGGGATGGTCAGCACGAGGATGCTCACGACATAGAGGACAGCCTGGTGCACGCGGATGTCAGCGCAGGCCAGGCGCAGGACGGGAGGCACATCGCAGAGGAAGTGGTTGATTTCCTGGTGGTGGCCGCAAAAGGGCAGGGTGAAGATTAAGGCGGTGAGCTGCAGGGAGGGGAAGAGGGCCAGGCCCAGGGCCCCACCCAGCATCTGCGTGCACAGCTCGCGGGTCATGATGAGGGTGTAGTGCAGCGGGTGGCAGATAGCCACATAGCGGTCATAGGCCATGATCGCCAAGAGGAAACAGTCCGTGCTGCCGAGGGTGACAAAGAAGAACATTTGGGCCCCACATCCAGCCAACGAAATGGGCTTCTGGGCCCCCAAAATGTTGGAAAGCATCAAGGGTACTACCACGGTGGTGTAGCAGAGTTCCAGGAAAGACAGGTTGGACAGGAAGAAATACATCGGGGTGCGGAGGGTGCTGTGTGTGCACACCACCCAGATGATGGCTGTGTTGCCACAGAGGATCATCAAGTAGAGGAGGAGGAAGAGAAGGAAGAGAAGAACCTGGAATTCAGTGGCTGTGGTGAACGCACGGAACACAAACTCAGTGGGCTCAGACTGGTTGAAGACAAGTTTCCCCACAGGCATGTCTTATGCAAAAGAATAGGACGCGCTGAGCTCTTCTTGGCTGAGTTGCTTTATTTCTTTTTTTTCTTTTTGAGACGGAGTCTCGCTCTGTCGCCCAGGCTGGAGTGCAGTGGCGGGATCTCGGCTCACTGCAAGCTCCGCCTCCCGGGTTCACGCCATTCTCCTGCCTCAGCCTCCCAAGTAGCTGGGACTACAGGCGCCTGCCACTACGCCCGGCTAATTTTTTTGTATTTTTTTAAGTAGAGACCGGGTTTCACCGTTTTAGCCGGGATGGTCTCGATCTCCTGACCTCGTGATCCGCCCGCCTCGGCCTCCCAAAGTGCTGGGATTACAGGCGTGAGCCACCGCGCCCGGCCGCTTTATTTCTTTAGTAAAAGCAGGAGTGTACAATTTTATTTGGAATTAACTATTTAGTAGCTAGTTTCCAATCACGGTGCATGAGAATGAATTCACGATATAGGGTTTGGTATACTTTTCCTTGGAAATCCTCATGAATGGGATAGACAGTCATCTGCAGAAATTCCTGGGGGCAAGACATGTAGACACATGTAGATGTTCCTTGTGAAATATCTCCCCCCACCCCGATATTTTCAATCCAATTGATAAGACTTAATTATTTTGCTTGTATTTAATTACAGTGAAGAGTTGTATGGTTGCACATATTTTAAAATTAGATAAATGAATTTGTCTTTTACTTTTTTCAGTAAGCACTCTCATTGAAATATAACATACATGTGGAGGAATTCACAAATCCTAAGTGTGAAGCTTGATTTGTTTATTTATTTTAACATCGTAAATACGCCAGTATAACCACTACAAAGATTAAGAAATAGAACGATTCCAGTGACCTACAAACATCCTTCATGTTCTCAGTCTTTATGCTTCACAAAAGTAACCACTTTTTGACTTTTATCATTACAGATTGATGTAACTATGTTTCAACTTATATATGAAATGCTAAAGCATGTACTTTATTGTAACTGGCTTCAACATTATGTCTGCAAAGGTTATTCTTGTTGTTCTGAATCAATCCTTTGTTCTTTCCATTGCTTTATGGCTATAAGTTATTCACTTTACATTCAGTTATTTTGACTCCACATACAAGTAGGAAAACACCCATTGTTACAATCTTTTCTGATATGTACTCTTCATATATTTCCTCTCTTTTGAACATTTTATCTAAATTTCCAACAGGAAGCTAAACTTTTGGACTCAAATAGTTTCAAATGAAAGGGAAGTGAACAGAGTCAGGTTAAAATTAAAGTGGAGCTTCCTGAGATAAGAAAAGACAATGAGGAAACTAAAAATGCAATAGCACAATTGAATTATGCATTAACATAATCAAGAGAATAAGAAAGACCTTTGCAAGCATCTGGGAAGTTAAAAATACCTGTGAATTAAGCACTTTCAGGTTAGACTACAACTTTATTTTTAATACAAAAATTTAAGAGACAATACAAAATATCTACAGAATTTTAAGAAAAACAAATTGGAGTGAAAGAATTCTGTATCAAAGCCTTAGTGATTTATGTTCAAAAGCAACAGAAAGACTTTCTCAGATTTGGAAGGGCTTAGGAATTATTTCATTCTAAATATAATTTTAAAAATCCCTCAACAAAGACTATGAGTTGCTGCATGATTAATCAGAGTAATCAGAACATATACTTTAAGGTTGGGAAAGTTGTAATGTAAAATAATATGCTTTGGAAAAGCAAATAATAAAATATGTATTTAATATTAAATAGTGCAAATATTGTTAAAAGCAAAAAAGAATTGCTGAGAATAATTTTTAAAGATGTGCATAATATAAAATATGAAAACTAAAATAATTATGTATATTTAAAACCACAATTTATATAATAGAAAAACTGATAGGGAGGGATGGGAGAAATGAAAATATGCTAATTTCCTAAACCTATGTACAAAAAGACTCCATAAATATTTTATTTAGATGTGACTAGAGAAATTAGTCACAACCATATATATCCAAACACATATTTCAAACATATTTCTGAATAATAATCATCAATAGAATAAAAACCAGCATATCCATTCCAAATGATCAGAAGATTTTAAAAAAGTAAATATAGCATAGAGAACAAAAGAAACAAAGAAAACTGTGAGCAAGCTTACAAGATAAAATAGGTTAAAGTAAACTGAGAAAAGCAAATATTTATGAAAATAAATCTAAATGGGGTTTATGTTCTAGTAGAGACAGCCTCATATTCACAAATGAAAAAAATTCAATCACATATGAATATAGTGACATAGAAAGGCTAGCATCCACTTTTGTTTAGCACTGTATTTTAGAACTTAACCAATGCAATAAAATTTAAAAAGATGCAGATTTGGTTGTCTAACCAAAAACACAACAGAATAAATTGAAGAAGTTAGGACGAATAAGATAGTCTTCATGGTGTTTAGTTCCAAATGAAATATAATAGAGAGTCTTTTAACTAATCGTCACTTAACTGATGTATCTGATAAGTCAATACTCCTCATTTTCTCTGTACAACATACTATATGCTAAACCTGACACTCTGAACACAGGAGATCTGAGCTTGCTCTCCACAATGTATAAACATTCCTACACCCAGAAGTTGACTTGCATGTATGTAAATTGGTTGGATTTTGCACACCCTGCTTATATCATGTGCATTTATTTTTGTACTTATGTAATTTTATTAAATATTACAAAATCAAATAAAGTGTTATTGTGAATATATATTTAATGAAAATTAATAATTCAATGCTTGAGAAATACTTGATAATTACAAGTTGCTAATAATTGCTGTGGAATAAGGTGTGAGCCAGACCATTATAATAGGCAAGGAGGGAAAGTAATAACATTTTGAATAATTTTATATTCATATTTGATATGAATCTAATTTTCACTTTATGTTAAAAAAGCTAAAACTGGAATTAATACATGATCCAGGCAAGAAAGCTTTTGACTTCAGGTAATACAAACTCAGTGTAAGCCTCTTGACTCTATATCAAAAGGTTGATGAATAAATGTCCACTCATATCATTTAAATCAAAGTAAAATCATTAAGGTAATTATGTAATTTATGCTTTGAATCACAGCACACTCTTCCTTTCTTTTTTTAAATCAATGATACTGTTAGAAAATGTTCTTCTCCCCCAAAACAACCAAACTTAATGAATGAATAAATGATAAATAACACACCAGTGAAGAAACAATAAATAACAAGTAGAATGATTTGAAGAAAACTACTAAATTTTGCACATATGTGCCTGGATGGAAAAACTCACTCAATATTTTGACGTTAATTGACTCTGAAATAATGTATTGATTCTATGCAAATCCTATCAAAATCCCTAGAAAAACAAGCAAGTAAAAATACAAAAAAAGTTGAAAAGAGTGAAACAACAGAGTGAAACTTTTATCACATTACATTAAGATGTGTAACAAACAAGTTATAAAATATGTTATATATTATCATATCATAAATCACAATGGTACTTGTAGAGCACTACAGATCCTGAATAATTGAATAGGAAGACTCACTAATAATGGCTAGCTGTTCTGTTGCACTTATTGTGTCAGACATTATTCTATGCACTTTACATTTATTAACTCATTTCATAATGGCCCTCTATAAAAGGGTTTTTATAACTATTTTACAGATGAAGAAGTTGATGCACAGGGAGGTTAACTACCTTACCCAAGATCACACAGATAGTAGGTGTTGGAATGGGAATTTAAACATAAGTAGACTGACTCCAGGGTCTCTTTCCTTCATCACTTTATTATAATATATTGTCACTATCTACTACGTGCATTAAGTTTCATTATCTGTAAAATAGAAGTGAAAATACACTTACCTACCTTCTCAGGTTGTGAGACTTGAACAAATTATTCTGTGAAAGTACTTAGAACAGTCCCAGCACAGAGTACACATTCAATGTGAAGTATATTAAATATTTTTACCATTTCAAATCAATTAGAAAGGATCAATTTCCTAATATGGCATTAGGACAATGAGGGAATCATTTTGGAAGTTAACCCTAATGCATAGACATTATGGATCCTTACAGAAAATGTATAAAGATTAAATGTTTCGCCGGGCATGGTGGCTCATGCCTGTAATCCCAGCACTTTGGGAGGCCGAGGCGGGCGGATCACAAGGTCAAGAGATCGAGACCATCCAGGCCAACATGGTGAAACCCCGTCTCTACTAAAAATACAAAAATTAGCTGGGTGTGGTGGCACGCGCCTGTAATCCCAGCTACTCAGGAGTCTGAGGCAGGAGAATCACTTGAACCTGGGAGGTGGAGGTTGCAGTGAGCCGAGATCTGGCCACTGCACTCCAGCCTGGTGACAGAGCAGACTCCGTCTCAAAAAAAAAAAAAAAAAAAAAGTTTCAAAATTTATTTCTAATGGACTTAGGTTTCAAATATTTTTAAAAGTAAAAGAAAACTAGAAGAGAGTGTAGATTAACTGTTTTTCAGATTTCAGGGTAGATAAACATTTATAACCAAATGAGGAAAGGGCAGAGTACAAAAAAATGTTGATATTGCAACAGAATAAAAATGTTAAAGTTTTGTAGGCAAAAACACAATAAGCAAATTGAATAGCAAGTGACAATTCAGATAAAAAACCTATCAGAAAAACAAATAATGGAAATTCAAAAAAGAAACATGCAAAAGCAAACAAATATATACAAATTGTTTTGTATATATTCAAATAAATATACAATTAAAGAAAATGGAATCCTCTTTTCTGTTTATCAACTAATAGCAATGGAAAAATGATAATTCCTTGTGTTATTAAAGTTGCAAGGAGAGATGTATTCCCAAATATGCTGGTGAAAGTATAAATTGCTGTAAAAATTTGTGAAATACAATTTGGTAATATAGTGAAAGACTTGAAGAAATGCATGCACTTTGATTCAGCAATATTGCTTTACAAATTTATTCTTATAAACTAAACATGCTCATAAAATCATTGACAAGAATGTTTGTCATCGTTTTCATTATAATAGTAAAAAATCATATCAACCTAAATATCAATTTAGAATGCTTAAATTAATTGTAGTCTATTAATTTTGTGGAACAATGTGTAATTGTCTAAAAATGACATTGTGGAAAAATAAGCAGATTGGGAAGGTTCATAAAAAAGCAGATTATAAAACAGCATTATATCATGATTTACTTAAAAGATAATTATATCATTCATAAAAAATAGAACCTACTTCAAAATATTAACAATGGGTATTGCTAGGTGGGTGGGATTGTGGATCTTTTTGCTTATGGCTTTCTGTTTTTACAAATTTTATAATGAGCATACACAATTTTGCAATCATATAATAAATTAAAAGTCTACTTTTATCCTTTGGTATCTGAACTAGTGTTGGCAAGGAAGGATGGTAGTGTCAGTCACATGGATTTTGAAGTTAGATATGGGTGTGAAACCCAGTTTCTTCACTTACTAATTTAATTTTTGCATTGACCACATTACTTGATGAGCCTTGGTTCCCTAATGTATAATTGAGGATATGAATATGGATCCTTATAAAAAATTTATGAAGGTTAAATGTTTCAAATATGTACTATTTCTGAGACATAGTTCCAATGAATGTACCTGCACTTCTGCCTCTTTTCTTGCAGTGATGTGTTTCTCTCAGGTATTTATTTACTCTTCAGTTCTTATCTTTTCCAGAGTAGAGAGTGAGGCGCCTCCTAGATCTCGCAGTTGCTCTGCTAGACCTTAAATAAGAAGAAGAGTAAGAGAGAAAAGGAAGAACAAAATGGAAGTGAGATTTCAGTAGAAAATTTGTAATTATATATCGTCAAAACCAAATCAGAGGCCGGGCGCGGTGGCTCACACCTGTAATCCCAGCACGTTGGGAGGCTGAGGCGGGCAGATCACGAGGTCGGGAGATCGAGACCATACTGGCCAACATGGTGAAACCCCGTCTCTACTAAAATACAAAAAATTAGCTGGGCGTGGTGGTGCATGCCTGTAGTCCCAGCTACTCGGGAGGCTGAGGCAGGGGAATCGCTTGAACCTGCGAGGCGGAGGTCGCAGTAAGCCGAGATCGAGCCATTGCACTCCATTAGACTCCGTCTAAACAAACAAACAAACAAACAAACACCAAACAAACAAAAAAACAAATAAGATAGTTTTTGACCCAGAAAGGCATTTAAAAATGATTCTATCTTACTAAGACGTGAACATCAAATGATCAATATTGGGAGCAGCCAATATTTGGTGAAAAACATAAGCTGTCAATAAAGCAAAACATGTAGCATTGGGAGAGCTCAATGTGTGCTAAAATATCACAATGGAGCGGTTGCAAGGAAAAATCAGCACACATGTTCAATGTGAGGCTATAACCTATTAAAAACCAAACACATCAGAATTTATACTTACAAAGTAGTGTTTTCCTTTCCAGTGGTCACTTTCAAAGGCTTTGGACTTCAATGATTTTACCTTATTCAAACCATTTCTGGGGCTCCTTTGGGAATTATTTTCAAAGTCCCTATATATTTTCTTGAATATTATCAGTTGTGACATATATTCACACTTGGATGACACATTTGCTTTTTTTCTTAGTAGCAAGACATTTGATATGCAGTGAGATGAAATACAGTGAAGTAACTGGGTAGTTATATTCTGCACTCTGGAGTTTGATCAAAATAGAAATTGGTGAGAAGCTAATGTTATTGTGTGGTAGAAACACACATTTCCTCCCAGCTTTTCATGAAATGTAATAATAAGTATTATCATTATTTTTAGGTTAATCATTCCAGATGTGTGATATAATCTTTGTATACATTTCTATCTTATTGAAGTATTTAACTAGAATTAATTGATTCTGTCATGCAATTTCAACTCTGTTGGCCATTTATCTTGAAGTAACCTGTCCATTGGCATGAATGGAATATATGACATTTTCATTTATGTCAACATTTTTATCTGGAGAATGGGTGAGGGGTTGGTGGCACCTGAAAGTTCTTAATAGAAATATTTCCTGGACCCATCCCTTATTTCATTTCTAAAAGATCTCTGTGCATATATACTACATTTCCTTTATCTCTTCATCTGTTGATGGACACATGGGTTAATTCCATTTCTTGGATACTGTGAATAATGCTGCAATGAACACAGGAGTACAGATATATTTTGGAATTCTGCTTTCATTTCCTTTGGATATATACCCAGTAGTGGAATTGCTGGATCATAAGGTAGTTCTATTTTAATATTTTGAGGAATCTCCATACTATTTTGCATTTGTCAAATTAAAAAACAATAGAAGAGCTCTGTGCAAATAAATTTCTGTCTTCTGGATCTGCATCACCCTATAGTATGGCATGAAACATTAAAAATTTTATCACCTAAAAGGCCATGCAAATATATAAGCAGTATTTATTATTCTCATTATTCTGTTACCCTCCCCAAAGTTGTCAGAGAAATTTTCAACCTTGTCATCCTCAGCATCCACAGAATTCACTGATTTCTTGGTGCCCTTATTGCTTCCCTGACAGCTTATGCTTAAAACAACAAACTCCTGGCAATGCCTGTTTGATAAAAATTTCAGTCAGGGTTATATTTGGGCTCCATAAAGTCAAGGATGTCTGTCTTGTTTATGACTGTATCCTCATCATATTTGAACTAATTTGAAGTTAAATCTCATGTCTTTTAAACTTTCTTTCAAAGCCAATATTCAGTGGCTCCTTCTATAACCCAATTAGCCTATTTAATTGTTTTAGCCCCACACAAATTGGGGTTTTTCTCAGTCCAGTCTTTATATTTTTGTTTACTACATGCAACAAAGAAGAACCTAGGTGGGATGGATTCAGCTGATAAACAGTTGGTAGGAAGCACAGCAGTTAAGCAGTTGATACACTTGTTGAACCAATAAGTTTGATAATATTGAGAAACTCATCTAGGTAGGAGTTATCTCTCAGTGGCTGATGGGCAGTGTTGCAATGTGTAATCTATGTGTACTACTAATACATAAACATTTACATATAAAACTGAAGGACTTTTGAAAATGTCAGGGAGCCATGGAACCATAGAAAAGCCCAGTCAAATATGTTAAATGCATGCTCATTTAGAAAAAATATATAAAATAGAAACTCTATATCTTTAAGGGAACTCAAGACGCACTTAATTCTATCCCCTTATGTCTTTCATGCGAAAACTCAGGCTTACCAAGATTAAGCCTTGTCCAAAAGCATGTGCTACATATAGGCATACCTGAGGCCAGATTTCAGATTCTATTGTATTAGTTAGCGGAGAGTGGAGCACATAGATGTGCCTTCAATATATCCTTTTCATCTACACTGAACTTAGTTAAAAGCATGCAAACAGCTATGCAGAAAGGGCACATTAGTATGATTCTTGCTGCATAGTGGAAACACATGCCCAAGCTTAGTCTAGTGCTATGCACACAAGTAAGGGAGACAATGCCATTTGTAGAATAATTTAATAACTCCTCAATATTTTTCTTACCCAAGTTATTTTCTCTAATGGCACTCACCGCTGTGCCATTCCTAGTTGATCACACATTTAGGAGACATTTGATCTCTCAACAAGAATCTGAGTCCTGGATTTGTAATTTACCAGTTTTAGAACTATGGATGAAATTATGACTCTCTATGAATCTCAGGTTTATACTGACAGAGAGTATAATATAGTTACTCTACAGTGTTATTGTGAGGATTAACAGTAAGGCTTATTAAGTGCACTGCCTGATTTCTAGTAGGTATTCTTTTATCATTCTCCTTGTTGCATTCGCAGCCCTATGTTTATTAACCAATATTCAGTTCCTTGCCATGATCTCTCTTGCTCTGAGGACTCTGCATCATCTACCCCCTTCACCTTGGACATTGTTCTCTTCCATGCTTCTACTCTTCCTTCAGAGCTCAGTTCAAGTGTCATCTTTCCCTGATCTTCATTTTTCCACATCTCAGTGATAGGTGCTTCTTCTATGAACTTCCAGAAAAACCTCTCCTCATCTTGACTCTACAGCCACTGTACCTTATTAATAAATTAACCAAGCAGGCAAATATTGAGTATTTGTTAGGAACTCAAGTCTTGGGCTCAGCTATGTGGAAGAGAATTATGAGGCATGATTACCAATTTCAGCTTTGCAAGAGAACACAATGCATAAGAGAATTTAAACATTCTCTGAGGAGCTCATTTCTAAATTGTGTTCCTTACAACATAAATTTTTCATGATGTCCCAGAAATAAAAGTCTTTGTGTCAAATCTGAAAACATTCACACTTTTTCTGATATTAACAATGCACTTAGCTCAATGTTTTGTGAAGTCCTGATGTAAAGCAGCCAGCCTACTTTTACCTGAAGAAATTCCCAGCTCCATTTTACCATAGAATACAATTTTTTTCACATAACACCAGGAAGCTGCTTATGATTTAATGATGTTGCTTGAAAAAAAGGAGTTCCATGCCATGTTCTTCAGGATCGTCCTACAGAAAGAACACTGATAGAAAAGGCAAAAGACTTGAATTCCATCCTTGCTTTACATTTATTAGGCATGCGATGCTAGGAAATTCAACCATTTATCAGAGTTCCCTTTTCTGTATCTGTAAAAGTGGATAGTAATCCTTACTCTGATAATTCATTTGTTGTCCACAAAAATTCAATATTGATGTATATGAACCAGTTACAAAGCATTATAAAATGTGTGTTTTTATTATTATTTTTAGAAAAAAGTCAAAATCAAACTAATAAAAAGGTCTTTTAGGGCGTTTCCTTACCACTTTGAAATTTGCTTCATTCCATCAGCCACCTAACCAAATTCACTTATGAGCTGGTTAACATTTTGCTGAGGTGCTAAGAATTCCTGCTATAGATGATGAAAGAAGCTCTCCCAGAGAGATTCTGTCTATCTTCTTACAGGGAATAATGGAATGAGGGTCCATGAGTTTCATGTTGTCAGCATTTCCTGGAAATGACAAGCAGACAGTATATGATACCCTCATAGTATTTGGATGACAATGGGGAAGTTTCCTTTGTATGCTGATATTCAGGAGAAGAATCACATCTTCGAAATTTGGGTTAAGGATGGAGTAGGGTGAGAGGGACCTCCTTCGGAAGAGTGATACTATGGAATAATCACACTTCAAGTCCTGAATGAGAAGTCTTGCATCTTCTCAATGATAGAAAACAGACTCTGATAGATTTACTCAGAGTCCAGTCTTGCCGAATTTGGTCAGATTATTTAGTATCCTTTATGAAATCTCTTTAAAATTAATGAGCCTCCAAAGAGGTGGAATTTCCCCAGTGGTTCCTCTTAAACTGAACCCAACTAGAGAAAATATTGGAAAAAATTTCCAGTGTCTATCAACTAAGGCAAGGTTTCCAGGCAGCTCTTTTCTGTGGTCACTGTAGAAAATTGTTGTCTGGGGATTTCAAGTGTGTATTCTCATTCCTTTCCTCTACCCAACAGAGACTTACTGATGTTGTATTCGAGAAAAATTTTTCCAGTGAGTTGTTGAAGGCAGACATTCATTGCAACTTGAGCTCATGAAATGTGTAATGAACTAACTCAACAGCAGGTTACGCATCTGGGATTCTAGGGTCTAGTCATGGCTCTGCCATTAGTAACTGTTGACCTCAGGCAAGTAGGAAAGCTCTTTTATGAGATTTTTCATTTGTGATATGAAACTTGGTATTACATGGACCTCATGGGTCTTTCTATTTCTAATATTCTATAAATTATGCATTTTATTACAGTTTTAAATTGGTATATAATTATACATATTCAGAGAGTACATGTGATATTTTGATGCATGTACACAATGTGTAATATCAAGTCAGGGTAATTAGGATATTCATTGCCTCAAGTATTTATCATTTCTTAGTGTTGGGAAATATTTCAAATCTTCTCTTTTAGCTATTTTGAAATATAAAATAAATACTTGTTAACTATAGTAATTCTACTGTGCTTTCAAACCCCACAACATATTCCTTCTCACTAGCTGTATTTTTATAACTGTTAATGAATCTCTCTTCATTGCCACTCCCTCATGTTCTTCCTTGTTTCTGGTAACCATCATTCTACACTCTTATCTTCATGAGATCAGCTTTTTTAGCTCTACAAATAAGTGAGAACATAACATGTTTTTTTTTTTTTTGTGCCTGGTTTATTTTACTTAACGTAATAGCCTCCATAGTTCCATCCATATTGCTTCAAATGACACGATTTCATTCCTCTTCCAATAGCTGAACAGTACCCCACTGTGTATATATGCCACATTTTCTTTATATATTTATACATTAATGAACACTTAAGTTGAATCCATATCTTGGCTATTGTGAATAGTGCTGCAATAAACATGGGAATGCAGATATCTCTTTGCTATACTGATTTTTTTTTATTTTTGTTGTGCACCCAGCAGTGGGATTTCTGGATTATATGGTAGTTCTACTTTTAGTTTTTTGAGGAACTTCCATATTGGCTGTACTAATTTACATTTCTACCAATGGTTTAGAGTGTTCCCCTTTCCCCCATCCTTGCCAGTATCTGTATTTTTTCTTTTTGATAACAGCCATTTTAATTGGGGTGAGATAATATCTCATTGTGGTTTTGATTTGCTTTTCCCTTATGATTAGTGCTGTTCAGCATTTTTGCATATACTTGTTGTCCATTAGTATATTTTCTTCTGAGAAATGTCTATTCAGATCATTTGGCCATTGTTTCATTGGATTAACTGTTTTCTTGCTGTTGAGTTGTTAAAGTTGCTTATGTATATTCTGGTTATTAATGCCTTGTCAGATGTATAGTTTGCAAATATTTTCTTGCATTCCGGTACTCTTTTGAGTTGATTGTTTTCGTTATCATGCAGAAGCTTTTTAGTTTGATGTAATCTCATCTATTTTTGCTTTGATTGTCTGTGCTTTTGAGGTCTCCATAAAATCTTTACCCAGAACAATGTTGTGAAGCATTTGTCCAATGTTTTCTTCTAGTAGTTTCATAGTTTCAGGTCTTACATTAAGTATTTAATCCATTTTGATTTAATTTTTGAAAGTGATGAGAGATAGAGGACTAGTTTCATTATGTTGAATATGGATATACAGTTTTCTTAGCACCATTTATTGAAAGGGCATCCTTTCCCCATTGTAGGATCTTGGCATCTTTGTTAAAAATGAGTTGGATGTAAATGCATAGATTTATTTCTGGATTTTCCGTTCTGCTCCATTGGTCTATGTGTTTGTTTTTATGTCAATCTCTCTCATCCTGTTTTGAGTATTATAGTTTTATGGTATATTGTGAAGTCAGGTAATGTGATGGCTCCAACATTGTTCTTTTTGCTCAGGATTACTTTGGCTCTTCAGGGTCTTTATCAGCTCCATATACATTTTAGATTTTTTTCTCTTTCTGTGAAGAATGTCATTAGTATTTTGATGGGGATTTTGCTGAATCTATAAATCATTTTGGGCAGTATGGGCATTTGACAATATTAATCTTCCCATCCATGAGCATGAGATAGCTTTCCATTTTTTTGTTTCCTCTTCAATGTCCTTCATCAGTGTTTTGTGGTTTTTTTTTAAAGTGAATTTACAATTTATTTAACATTCAAACTTCATTAAGACATGGGCAATATGGCAATTTTACTGGGGATTAAGCCCAAACTAGGATGATTGCTTGCTGGGGGTTAGCAGCAGGGTGCAGTTCACGCTTAGCACTAATTAAATGTTTTATTGAATAATTACAATATCAGACAAAATGAATTCAAATGGTTTCTAAAAAGTCAATTTTACAGGCCTTTCTACTCAGGCTAATGAAAAACACAATAAAGGCAGATATGCTAGTTTAACATAATTTACTGATTTTATACAGCACTTATATCTTTTAGTCCACAAGTATATTACTAAATGATAGAGAACATCTACTACAATCATTTCTACAGAACTAGGAAATAAATTTCTAAGAAAGAAAGTTTTTACAGACACCATCTTTTATACCCACCCTAATAGTCTAACATTAAAGAGGATAAAGCCAATGACTTTCCTCACAAGAGCTCATGACTAATGTCGCCCCATGATCTGTTTTGAGCATTGAGATAAGACTCAAATATTCCCAAAGAAAGAAGCACAATGCATGTTGTGGTTGCCTATTTGGCAACAGTGAGCACTGCATCCTGAACTATCTCATCCCAGGAATTAAATAAAGTTAGTCACATTCATGGGCATTTCTTCCACTGTATTATTGTAGAAAGTCTCAATGTCATGAAGAATTATTTTGTCCTCTTCAGTAACAAAATTTATAGCCACACCTCTGCCAATTCTGTGAATACAGTTTTCATTATTGGTAGTTAGATCATAGTTTATAACCAAAGACACTTGTTGCACATCAGTCTCGTGAACCATCAAGCCAGTAGTGATCAGAACACCACTTGACTCTGATCAGAATTCCCTCATGATAACATCTCTCTCCTTCTGGTCCATGTCACCATGCAGAACAGAAATTATGAAGTCTCTGGCATGCATTTTCTCAGTCAGCCAGTCCACCTCATACCTTGCATTACCTTGCATTGGGAAAAATGACAGCCTGCATAATAGTCAGTGTCTCGTACAAGTCACAAAGTGTAGTCAACTTCCATTCCTCTCTTTCAACATTAATGTAAAACTGTTTGATTCCTTCTTCCTTTTTCACCAGAATTTAAACTGGATCTCTCATGAATTTTTTTGGTCACTTCCAACACATCAGTTGGCATTGTGGCAGAAAGCAACACAACCTGAATACTTCTATTTAATTTTTGGAAAATCTCATAGATTTCATCCTTAAACCCTCAGCTCAACATTTCATCTGCATCATCCAAAACAAACATTTTGATCCACCTTGGAGAAAAATATCTTATGTTTAGCATATCAAACACTCTCCATGGTGTACTAGCAACAGTATGTGGTGCTTCTGCCTACAGTTTTTGCATTTAATTTTGAACATTTGTTCCACCAATACAGGCACGACAAGTTTCTCCCATATAGTCTCCAAGTGCCAGAATTACGTTTTGGATCTTTAATACAAGGAACAATAGCTCTGGGCTGAATAGCTGGAGGCTTCTCAAAACCACAAACATGGAATACCCCTAAAAGAGACTCCTTTAAATTCATACTATCAAAGTTAACAATCTCATTTCAGTTGCTCTTGATGACAACATTGGATCCATTCCCTTTGGGCTGCCATGTTTTCTGTTATAATCCATGGAGTCACTAGACATGATACAAAGAACAACTCAGCCTGACTGAAAAGCATTTTGTATTTTTTATTATAGAGATCTTTCACTTCTTTGGTTAAGTTTATTCTTAAGTATTTTTTTAAGGTAGCTACTGTATATGGAATTGCTTTCTTGATTTCTTTTCCAGAGCGTTTGCTATTGATGTATAGAAATATTACTGATTTTTCTATGCTAATTTTGCAGCCTGCAAATTTACTGAATTCATTTATCAGCTCTAACAGTTTTTTGGTGGAATCCTTAGGTTTTTCAAAATATAAGATAAGGTCATCTTCAAATAAGGATAATCTGAATTCTTCCTTTCCAATTTGGATGCCCCTTATTTCATCCTCTTGCCTAATTGCTTTGGCTAGGACTTCCATTATTACTTTGAGGAGGAGTGGTGAAAGTAGACATTTTTGTCTTATTCCAAACGTTAGAGGAAAAGCTTTGTTTTTCCTTGTTCAGTATGATATTAGCATGGGTTTGTCTTATATAACCTTCATTGTTTTGAGGTATGTTCCTTCTACACCTAGGTTGTTGAATGTTTTTATCACGAAGGGATGTTGAATTTTGTCAAATGCCTTTTCATTGTTTGTTGAAATAATCATATGGTTTTGTTCTTGAATCTGTTAATGTGATGTATCACATTTATGAATTTGTGTACGTTGAACTATCTTTGCATTCCTGGGATGATTCTCACTTGATCAGGGTAAATGATCTTAATGTGTTCTTGAATTCAGTTTGCTAGCATTTTGTTGGTTTTTACAACTATGTTCATCAGGGATATTGGCCGGTAGTTTTATGTTTTGTGTGCGTGTGTGTCTCCTTGCCTGGTTTTGCTATCAGGGCAATGCTGGCCTCATGGAATGATTTTGGAAGTATTCCTTCTTCTTTGACTTTCTGGAATAGTTTGAGTAGGATTGGTAATTAGTTCTTCATTAAGTGTTCTGTAGAATTGAGCAGTGAAGCCATCTAGCCATCGGCTTTTCTCTGACGGGGGACTTGTTATTACTGATTCAGTCTTGTTACTCACTAACATGTTATTTATTTATTTATTTATTTATTTATTTATTTATTTTTAACATTCTTGACATGTTCAAATTTCCTGTTTCTCCATGGTTAAATCTTGGTAGGTTGAATTTGTCCAGGACCTTATTTATTTTCCTTTAAGGTTTTACAATTTATTGGTTATGGTTGTTCATAATAGACTCTAATGATCTTTTTGTTTCTATGGTATTAGTTGCAATGGCTTCTTTTTCTTCTTAGATTTTGTTTGAGTCTTCTCTCTTTTTTTAGTCTAGCTAAAAATGTGTTGATTTTGTTTATTTTTTTTTAAAAACAACTTTTTCTTTCATTTATCTTTTGTATTTTTTAAAGTCTCAATTTCACTGATTTCTGCTCTGCTCTTTATTTCTTTTTTCTCCTAATTGTAAGTTTGTTTTGTTTTTGCTCTTTTAGTTCCTTGAGGCACATCACTAGCTTGTTTATGTGAAGTCTTTCTAGTTTTTTGATGTAGGCATTGATTACTATAAACTTTCCTCTTATATGCTTTTGTTCTATTCCATAGGTTTTGGTACATTGTGTTTCCATTTTTGTTTGTCTCAGGAGGTTTTCAATTTCATTATTAATTTCTTCATTAAGCCATTTGTTGTTCAGGAGTATGTTTAATTTACATGAATATGTATAATTTCCAACTGTTATTGATTTCCTATATAATTTCCTTTTGTTATTGATTTTTAGCTTCATTCCATTCTGGTTAGAAAAAACACTTGACATGATGTTGATTTTGTAAAATTTGTTAAGACTTGTTTTGTGATACATGTTCTATCCTGGAAAATGTTTTATGTGCTGTTGAGAAAAATGTGTATTCTGCAGCTGTTGGATGGAAGGTTCTGTAAATGTTTGTTAGGTGCATTTCATCTAGAGCAGGGGTCCCCAACTCCAGTACTGGTTTGTGGCCTGTTAGGAACCAGGATGCACAGCAGGAGGCGAGCAGCAGGCAAGCAAGTGAAGCCTTGTCTGTCTTTACAGCCTCTCCCATTGTTTGCATTACAGCCTGAACTTCACCTTCTGTCAGATAAGAAGCAGCATTAGATTCTCACAGGAGTGCCAGCCCTATCTTGAACTGGGCATGTGAGGGATCTAGGTTGTGTGCTCCATATGAGAATCTAATGCCTGATGATCTGAGGTAGAGCTGAGGTGGTGATGCTAGCTCTAGGGAGCAGCTCCCAATACAGATTAACATTAGTAGAGAGGTTTGACTGCACAGAGACCGTAATAAATAAATTACTTGCAGACTCATATCAAAACCCTGTAAGTGAGTAGCAAGTGACAATTAAGTTGCACCCGGTCTCAGCCTTTATAGTGGCAAGTGAGTTGGAAAAAAGTGCACAATAAATGTAATGCACTTGAATCATCCTGAAATCACCCTCCCCAACCTCAGTCCGTGGAAAAGTTGTCTTTCATGAGACTGGTTTCTGGTGACAAAAAGATTGGAAACTGCTGGTCTAGAGTGTAGTTTCTAGATTGCTGAAAGTGGAGAGTTGAAATCCCCTACTATTATTGTATTGCAGTTAACTCTACCTTTAGGTCTTTTAATGTTTGTTTTATTTATTTGGGTGCCCCAGTGTTCAACACACATATATTTACAATTGGTGTATCCTCTTGCCATATAAACTGCTTTTACATTATTTAATGATCTTTGTCTTTTTAAAACCATTCTTGTCTTAAAAGTGTATTCTCTTTAAGTATAGCTACTCCTGATATTTTTGGTTTCCATTTATATAAAATATCTTCTTTTAATTCCTTCATTTTCAGTCTGTGTATGTCTTTATAGGTGAAGTGAGTTTCTTGTACACAGTGTATAGTTGGGTCTTGTTTGTCAATCAGTTCAGCCACTCTATGTCTTTCATTAGTGAATTAATCCATTTACATTCATAGTTATTATTGATAGCATTTATTACTGATTTTTCTGGTTACTTATTTTCTTTTGGGATTCTCTCTTTCCTTTTTCCTGTCTTACTGTCTTCCTTTGTGGGTAATTATTTTCTCTAGTAGTATGTTTTGATTCTATGCAATTTCTATTATAGGTTTTTGCTTTCTGGTTACCATGAGGCTTAAAAAATTATCTCATAGTTATGACAGGTTATTTTATATTGATAAGGACTTTGATCACAAAAAGTATCAAAAACAAACTCTACACTTGAATATCATCCCTCTACATTTTGACTTTTTGATGTTTCGACTTACATCCTCTTTAAGTCTCTTATTTTCTTTTATTTTTTGAGTCAGGGACTCACTGTGTCATCTAGGCTGGAGTACAGTGGTGTGATCATGGCTCACTGCAGCCTCAAACTCCTGGGTTCAAGCAACCCTCCCACCTCATCTTCCCAATTAGCTGGGACTACAGGCACAAGCTACCATGCCCAGTTAATTATTTTTATCTTTTATTGAGATAGCATTTTGCTATATTCCCAAGGCTTGTCTTGAACTCATTGCCTCAAATGATCTTCCTGCCTTGGCCTCCCAAAATGTGGGGATTGCAGGCATGCACCAGCGTGCTCACCTTAAATTTAGATTTTTTATATTGCCTGTCTCTTATCTAACTGTTGAAGATTTTTTTTTTAGTAGTTTGTCTTTTAGTTTTCATACTTGAGATTTAAGTGGTTTACAGAGACCGAATAGCCAAAGCAATCCTAAGCGAAAAGAACAAAGCTGGAGGCATCATGCTACCAGACTTAAAACTGTGCTATAGGGCTATAGTAATCAAAACAGCATGGTTTTTGTACAAAAACAGACACACACACCAATAGAACACACCAGAGAACAGAGAAATAGGGCAGCACACCTACAATTATCTGATCTTCAACAAACGTGACAAAAACAAGCAATGGGGAAAGTATTCTCTTTCTAATAAATGGTGCTGGGATAACAGGCTAGCCATATGCAGAAGATTGAAACTGGACCTCTTCCTTACACCATATACAAATTTTAACTCGAGATAGATTAAAAACTTAAATGTAAAATCCAAAACTAAAAACCCTGGAAGACAACCTAAGCAATACCATTCTGGATATAGAAACAGACTAAACAGTGTAAGAGTTCATGACAAAGAGGTCAAAGGCAATTGCAACAAGAGTAAAAAAAAATGACAAGTGGGATCTAATTAAACTGAAGAGCTTCTGCACAGAAATAGAAACTATCAGCAGAGTAAACAGACAAACTACAGAACAGGAGAAAGTATTCACAAACTATGTGTCCAACAAAAATCTAATATCAAGCATCCATAAGGAAGTTAAATAAATTTACAAGAAAAAAATAACCCCATTAAAAAGTGAGCAAAGGACACGAACAAGCACTTTTCAGAAGAAGACACACATGTGAGCAACAGTCATATGAAAAAAGCTCAACATCACTGATCATTAGATAAATGTAAGTCATACTACAATGAGATACCATCTCACACCAGTCACAATGCCTGTTATTAAAAAGTCAAAAGATAACAGATGCTGGTGAGGTTATGGAGAAAAAGGAACGTGTATACACCGTTAATCAAAGTGTAAATTAGTTCAACCATTGTGGAAGACAGCATGGTGACTCCTGAAAGACCCGAAGATGGAAATACCATTTGACCCAGCAATCCTGTTACTGGGTATATACCCTAAGGAATATAAAACATTCTATCATAAGGACATATGCATGCATATATTCATCACAGCACTAGTCACGATAGCAAATCTAAATGCCTATCAATGGTAGGTTGGATAAAGAAAATGTGGTATATATACACCATGGAATACTATGCAGCCATAAAAAAGAATGAGATTATGTTCTTTGCAGGAATTCAGATGGAGCTGGAAGCCATTATCCTTAGAAAACTAATGCAGGAACAGAAAATCAAATACCACATATTCTTAGTTATAAGTGGGAGCTAAATGATGAACACATACAGAAGAAAAACACACGTGGGTCTATTGGAGACAGGAAGGTGGGAGGAGGGAGAGTATCAGGAAAAATACCTAATGGGTACTAGGTTTAATGCCTGTGTGATGAAATAATCTGTACAGCAAACCCCCAGGGCACAAATTTACTTATATAACAAACCTGCACATGTATCCTTGAAATAAAAAATTAAAGTAAAAAAGTAGAAATCTTAGAAATAAAGAATACAATAGTAAATGAAAAACTTGATGAAACAAAGAAAAGAATTAGTGACCTTCAAGGCAGAACATATAAAATTAGCCAATCAGCAGATCAGAAAGAAAAAAAGAATTTTAAAAAGTGAAGGAGGTCTGCAAGAATTATGGGATACCACCAAGTGAACAAACCTCTACATAACTGAAATTCCCAAAGAAAATGAGAGAGAAAAAGATCTTGAAAGCATATTTAATAAAATTATGGTTGAAAACTTCCCAAATCTAGAGAAAGACAACAGCATCCAGTAAAAAGAAGCTCAGAAGTCAGCAATCAAATTCTACCCAAAGAGTAATTATCTAAGTGAAAATTAATGACAAAGATAATACTCAAAGCAGGAAGAAAAAAGAAACAATCAGCACAATTAACAGAGCCTCAGTAAGACTTTTAGCAGATTTTTCAGCAGAAATCCTGCAAGCCAGGAGAGATTAGGGTGCTATATTCAAATTGCTGAAGAAAAAAAAAAAAAACTACCAACCAAGAATATTGGACCCAGAATAGCTATCCTTCAAACATGAAGGAAAGATAGAGTGTCCAAGACAAAAAAATGAAAATAAATAAAAAAGCTGAGGGAATTTATGAATACCAGACATGTCTTATAAGAAATACTAAAAAGAATTCTTCAGTCTGAAAGAAATGGTTGCTAACATGTACAAGTAAATGTCTGAAGTTATAAAACTCATGGGTAAAAGAAAATGGACAAATTCAGGATACTCTAATACTGTAATTTTGGTAAGCAAACCACTTTTTAAAATCTATTTTTCTTTTAAGTTCAGGGGTACATGCATGTGCAGGTTTTTACATAGGTAAACTTGTGTCATGGGGGTTTGTTGTACAGATGATTTTATTACCCAAGTATTAAGCCTAGTACCCATTAGTTATTTTTCCTGCTCCTCTCCCTCCTTTCATCTTTCACTCTCCCAAATTCCCCAGTGTGTGTTGTTCTTCTCTGTGTGTCCATGTGTTCTCATTATTAGCTTCCATTTATAAGTGAGAACATGTGGTATTTGGTTTTCTGGTTCCTGTGTTAGTTGGCCAAGAATAATGGCCTCCAGCTCCATCCAGGTTCCTGCAAAGAACACGATCTCATTGTTTTGTATGGCTGCATAGTATTCCATCATGTATATGTACCATATTTTCTCTATACAGTCTATAATTGATAGGCATTTAGGTTGATTCAATGTCTTTGCTATTGTGAATAGTGCTGTGATGAACATATGCATGCATATATCCTTATGATAGAATGTTTTATGTTCCTTTGGGTATATACCCAGTAACAGGACTGCTTGATCAAAAAATATTTCCGTCTTTGGGTCTTTCAGGAATCACCACGCTGTCTTCCATAATGAAACTAACTTACACTTTCACTAACAGTGTATACACGTTCCTTTTTCTCCATAACCTCACCAGCATCTGTTATCTTTTGACTTTTTAATAACAGGCATTGTGACTGGTGTGAGATGGTATCTCATTGTAGTATGACTTACATTTATCTAATGATCAGTGATGTTGAGCTTTTTTCATATGACTGTTGCTCACATGTGTGTCTTCTTCTGAAAAGTGCTTGTTCGTGTCCTTTGCTCACTTTTTAATGGGGTTATTTTTTTCTTGTAAATTTATTTAACTTCCTTATGGATGCTTGATATTAGATTTTTGTTGGACACATAGTTTGTGAATACTTTCTCCTGTTCTGTAGTTTGTCTGTTTACTCTGCTGTTTCTATTTCTGTGCAGAAGCTCTTCAGTTTAATTAGATCCCACTTGTCATTTTTTTTTTTTACTTTTGTTGCAATTGCTTTTGACCTCTTTGTCATGAACTCTTACACTGTTTAGTCTGTTTCTATATCCAGAATGGTATTGCTTAGGTCATCTTCCAGGGTTTTTATAGTTTGGGTTTTACATTTAACTCATTAATACATCTTGAGTTAAAATTTTATATGGTGTAAAGAAGAGGTCCAGTTTCAATATTCTGCATATGGCTAGCCTGTTATCCCAGCGCCATTTATTAAAAAGGAAATACTTCCCCAATGCTTGTTGTTGCCAGGTTTGTCAAAGATCAGATAGTTGTAGGTGCGCAGCCCTATTTCTGTGTTCTCTATTGTGTTCCATTGGTGTATGTGTCTGTTTTTGTATGAGTACCATACAAAAGTACCATACTAGTTAAGTGCACAAGTAGCCTATATTTAGATGTGTTTTGCTTTTCTCTAAATCTCTTGATAAATCTCTAGCTTCATTCAGCAGAATTAGTAATGACAAGTTCGAAATGCATAATCAAGCATGTTCCACAGTAATTGCAAAGACAAATTGTTTCAAGCTCAGTAGCATGAAGCCTGCTGTGGTCAGTGATTCTAAGGCAGTGGTAATAGCTAATAACATTGCTGATTTTTTGAATAATTAATCTATATGAGGCCCTTTCAATCATTTTAAATATATTACAAACCATGGCACCAAACAAGGTTACTTTAAGATGTCAGTAAAGACAGAAAAAAGAAAAGGATCAGGGACTGAGCCCTGGTGCATATCAACATTTGGGTGTCAGAACAGTAATGAGAGTCTAGCCAAGAATATTGAGAGGATAAAAATGAAGAGAGGGAATTTAAAATGCCATCAATATGCTAATGATTTCTAAATTTGTTGGTAGTTATAGCTCTTCTGAACTCTTGAGCTAAATATTTAAAAGATATTTCAAATGCAACATACCCAAAACATAATTCTTAAATTTCTCCACTACATTTGATTTTCTCACATGATTCTTCATTTTAGTAAGTGACATCTCATTCTACTTTCTTAGATCAAAAAAAGTTTTAGAGTTACACTTGACTCTTCTGTTTTACTTATGCCCCATATCTAGTCTGTATAAAATTGTACTCAATTTACCTTCAAAATATATCCAGAATATAATTACAGTCATCTCTCAGTGTCCCTGGGGGATTAGTTCCATTAAACACCGAAGGTATCGACATCTGTTGATGCTCAAGTGTCTTATATAAAATGGTGTGGTATTAGCATATGTTTTCCAAAATTACTTTTTGTGGGTACATGGTAGGTGTACATATCTGTGGGGTACTTGAGATTTTGCAACAGGCATGCAATGTGAAATAAGCCCACCATGGAGAATGGGGTATCCATCTCCTCAAGCATTCATCCTTTGAGTTATAAATAATCAAATCACACTTTATAAGTTATTCAAAATGTACAATGTGGTTATTATTGATTATGGACACCCTGTTGTACTATCAAATAGTAGGTCTTATTCATTATTTCTAACTTTCTTTTTGTACCCCTTAATGATCTCCATCTCCCCACCTCAACCCCCAACTATACTTACCAGCCTCTGGTAACCATCCTTCTCCTCTCTATGTCTGTGAGATCAATCGTTTTGTTTCTAGATCCAGCAAATAAGTGAGAACATGCAATGTTTGTATTCCTGTGCCTGACTTATTTCACTTAACATAATGATCTCCAGTTCTATACAGGTTGGAAATGACTGGATCTCATTCTTTTTTGTGGCTGAATAATACCCCATTGTGTATATGTACCACATTTTCTTTTATCCATTAATCCATTTATGGGCACTTAGGTGGCATCCAAATCTTAGCTATTATAAACATTCCTGCAATAAACATGGGAGTGCAGATATCTCTTTGATATACTGATTTTCTTTCTTTTGGGTATATATCCAGCGGTGGGATTTCTGGACCATGTGGTAGCTCAATTTTTAGCTTTTGAGGAAACTCCAAACTGTTTTCCAAAGGTGGTTGTACTAATTTACTTTCCCATCAACAGTGTACTAGAGTTCCCTTTTCTCCACATCCTCACCAGCATTTGTTACTGTCTTTTGGATATAAGTCATTTTAACTGGGGTGAGATGATGCCTCATTGTTGTTTTGATTTGCATTTTTCTGATGATGAATTATGTTGAACATCTTTTCATATGCATGTTTGCCATTTGTATGTCTTCTTTTGAGAAATGTCTATTCAAATCTTTTACCCATTTTTAAAATTGGATTATTAGATTTTTTTCCTACAGAGTTGTTTGAGCTCCTTATATATTCTGGTTATTAATCCATTGTCAGATGGGTAGTTTGCAAACATTTTCTTCTAGTCTATGGGTTGTCTCTTCACTTTGTTGATTGTATGCTTTGCCGTGCAGAAGCTTTTTAACTTGATGTGATCCCATTTATCCATTTTTGCTTTGGGTACCTTTGCTTGTGAGGTACTGCTTAAGAAATTTTTCCCAGACCAATGTCCTGAGGAATTTCCCCAATGTTTTCTTGCAGTAGTTTCATAGTATGAGGTCTTTAATCCATTTTGATTTGATTTTTGAATATGGTGAGAGTTAAGGGTTTCATTCTTCTGCATATGTCTATCTAGTTGTCCCAACACCATTTATTGAAGAGTCTGTCTTTTCCCCAATGTATATTCTTGGCACCTTTGTTGAAAATGAGTTCACTGTAGGCGTGTGGATTTGTTTCTGGGTTCTCTGTTTTGTTCCTTTAATCTCTGTGTCTGTTTTTATTGCCAGTACCATGCTGTTCTGGTTACTATAGCTCTGTAGTATAATTTGAATTCAGCTAATGTAATTACTCCAGTTTTGTTATTTTTGCTTAGAAAAGCTTTGGCTATTCTGGGTCTTTTGTGGTTCCATATAAATTTTAAAACAGTTTTTTTCTATTTCTGTGGGGAATGTTATTGGTATTTCATGGGGATTGCATTGAATCTGTAGACTGCATTAGGTAGTATGAACATTTTAACAATATTGTTTCTTCCAATCCATGAACATGGAATATTTTTCCATTTTTTGTTGTCCTTGTCCATTTTTTTAATCAGTGTTTCATAGTTTTTATTATAGGAATCTTTCACTTCTTTCAATAACTTAATTCCTAGGTATTTAATTTTATTCATGGCTATTGTAAGTGGGATTACTTTTAAAATTTCTTTCTCAGATTGTTCACTGTTGACATATGGAAATGTTACTGATATTTATATGTTGATTCTATATCCTGCAACTTTAATGAATTTATTTATCGGTTCTAATGGTTTTCTTGTGGAGTTCTTAGGTTTTATCCAAACATAAAATTATGTCATCTGCAAACAAGGATAATTTGACTTCTTACATTCCAATTTGTATCCCTTTATATCATTCTCTTGTCTGATTACTCTAGCTAGGACTTCTAGTACTATGTTGAATAACAGTGGTGTAAGTGGGCATCCTCGTTCTAGATCTTAGTGGGACAGCTTTGAGTTTTATTCACTCAGTATGATACTGTCTATAGGTCTGTCATATATGGTTGGTAATTTAGGTAATTTCTCATCCTTTACTCCCTTCTCACCCTCCCACCTTTCTAAGTCTCCAATGTCTATTATTCCACTCTCTATATCCATATGTACACACTATTTAGCTTCTACTTACAAGTGAGAACATGTAGCATTTGACTTTTTATTTCTGAGTAATTTAAGATAACGGCCTCCAGTTCCATCCATGTTGGTGCAAAAGTCATGATTTTATTTTTTTAATGGCTGAGTAGTGTTCCATGGCATACATATGCCATTTTTTCTTTATCCAGTCATCCATGGATGGACACTTATACTGAGTCCCTGTCTTTGCTATTGTGAACACTGCTTCAATAGACATACAAGTGCAAGTGTCTTTTTGATATAATGATTTCTTTTCCTTTGAATATATACACAGTAGTGGAATTGCTAATTCAAATGGTAGATCTATTTTTTGTTCTTTGAGAAATCTCCAAACTGCTTTTCATACAGGTTGAACTAATTTACATTCCCACTAACAGTGTATAAGTGTTCCCTCTTCTCTGCATCCTCACCAACATCTGTTATTTTTGACTTTTTAATAATAGCTATTTTGACTAATTGAAGATAGTATCTCATTGTGGTTTTAATTTGCATTTCTCTGATGATTAATCATGTTGAGCATTCTTTTCATATGCTTCTTGGCCATTTGTATGTCTTTTTTGAAAAATGTCTGTTTATGTCCTTTGCCCATGTTTTATGGTGTTATTTGTTTTCTTGTTTACTTGTTTCAGTTCCTTGTTGATTCTGGATATTAGTCTTTTATCAGATGCATAATTTGCAAATATTTCCCCCAATTCTGTAGGTTGTCTGTTAATCCCACTAATATCTATCTTTTAAGTGTAGCATTTAGGGCATTTACATTCAAGGTTCATATTAATATATTAGTTTTTTTTCCTATCATAATGTTAATTGACACCTACCTGCTTTGCAGTCTCACTTGTACTGCTTTGCAGTTTCACTTTATATGACCTATGAATTTTATAGTTTAATGTGTTTTTATGGTGGCAAGCATCAATCTTTCATTCTCATGCTTAGAGCTGCTTTGAGCATTTCTTGTAGGCCTGGGCTAGTGATGACAAATTCTCTTAGCATTTGCTTATCTTTGAAATACCTTAATTCTCCTTGATTTCTGAAGCTTATTCTACCAGGAAACAAAATTCACAGTTGACGGGGTTTTTTTTTTTTTTTTTTTCATTAAGAAGTCTGAAAATGGGACTCCAATCTCTTCTGGCTTCTAAGGTTTCTACTGAGACGTCCGCTCTCGGTTTGATGGGATTTTCTTTATAGGTGACTAAATGCTTTTCTCTTGCTGATCGTAGGGTCTTTTCCTTCACTTTGACTTTAAATGGTCTGATGACTATGTATCTTGATGAAATCCTTCTTGCAATGTATTTGCTTGATGTTCTCTGATCCTCTTGTATTTGGATATCTAAATCTCTGTCAAGACTAGGCAAGTTTTCCTCAATTATTTCCTTAAATGGGTTTTTCAAATTTTTTACTTTTTCTTCTCTCTTACGAATACCTATGACTCATAGGTTTGAACATTTCATGTAATCTCATACTTCTTGAAGGCTTTGTTCATTTTCAAATTCCTTTTTCAATTTTTTTTCTCCAGCTGAGTTAGTTTGAAAGTCTTGTCTTCAAGCTCTGAGATTATTCATTCTGCTTGGTATAGTCAATTGTTAAAGCTTTTAAAGTATATTTTTTAATTCTTTCAACAATTTTTTCATTTCCAGAAGTTCTTTTTTTAAAACTATCTTTATGGTAAATTTTTCATGCACATCCTGAGTTGATTTTTTTATTTTTGTGTTGGTTTTATAACTTTCTTTTGAATTTCATTGCACTTCTTTAAAATAAATATGTTAAATTCTTCACCTGGTATTTCAAAGATTTCATTTTGGTTAGGATGAA
This sequence comes from Homo sapiens, assembly GCF_000001405.40. Lineage (NCBI taxonomy): Eukaryota > Metazoa > Chordata > Mammalia > Primates > Hominidae > Homo > Homo sapiens. The sequence continues at coordinate 58,255,514 of NC_000011.10, forward strand.
TTGCTAGAGAGTTAGTGTGATCCTTTGCGAGTGTAGTGACACCATGATTATTCATATTTCCAGAATCTTCTCATCTGGAAAAACTATCACTTCTTTCTTTCCTTATCACACCCCTGTCCTAGCTCTTGGGACACTCAGATTGGTCAGACAACTCTGTCTATCTCCAGTCTGCAGTGTAGGCAAAAGCCACAAAAGATTCCTGCCCCACAATTCACTGCTAAAATGTCTTCAGTGTGGAACCTCCTTTTTCAATCCAAAACACACAGCTTTTTTGTTCTCCTACTCCATTCTGCAGAAACGCTACCACTCTTGTCTAGAAAGGGGTAAGGGGTCCTGTATTTCATGCAAGCCCGAACCTGGGGGACACACTGCCACTGTGGATGCTGTTACCCCTAATAGCCTTAAAAAGGCTGTCTTCTAGCACCCCTGTCTCAATTTTCTGTGGAAGCAGCTTTGCCTGTGTCTGCAGCAGTGAGAGGGTGGGAAGGAGAAGGAGAAATCCCCCTCTTTACACCTGGACTGGAACATTGAGGCTGCTTGGCTGGGGAGATGGAACTACACTCTTCCTTCGCAGAGCTGAGCACAGTGCCCACATCTCTGCTGGAAGTGGTACAATCATTCACAGTCCAAAAGTAGTGAGCTCTCAGGCACAGAAAAGCATATATTCTGTTTCCTTTGTTCCAACAGGTGATATTTTGGTGCACTGCGCTCTCCCTTTCCTTAGGAGCAGCACTCCCCAAGAGCTAGACCACTGGGACTCCTACATCTCCCCCTGGGTCCAGCCAGCCCTGAGTGACTGCCACAGTTATAGTGCTTGGGAATGTCTGTGGAGGCTCCAGTTATGTGGAGACACAAGAGCTGAGGTTCTCTGAGCAGGACATAGTCTCCGGATGGCTGCACCCCCAGTATGGTGCCCCACCACTGCTGTTTGGGTATGAGGGCAGAGTGAGTGACCCTGTATGAGTTGATAGTCTGGTGTAATGCTTTCAGTAAGTTTCCAAATCACTGCCCATACCAGTATCTGTATTCAGGAGGGCAGAAGAGTTCTCTGATAGTTTAGATATTGATGGTCTGCTGCAGGGGAAAGGGGAGCCAAAACATTCCCAACTATCCTTTCAATGAAATACTAACTCTCTTGGTGTTCCTAGCTTATCTCTGCCAGCCTCTTGTTCCCATCTTTTTTTGTGCTCCGGCTTCTTGCCCTGAGCTCTCTGCTAGGCTCTGGCACTTTCCCTTTGATTTTTGGTTTCAGTTCTGATGATTCAGTTGTAATTTTGGTCTTTTTTCTTACTAGGTATAAAGTTTGCAAGTATATTTTCTCATTCTGTATGTTATCTCTCTCTCTTTTTAAATTTCAATTTGTGGTTGGTTGGATCCACAATATGGAACCTGAGGAAATGTAAGACTGTCTATACTTGCCTAGATTGTTACAATAGATGCGTAAAAAGATTCTGATTCAATATTTCTCTAAAATAGTATATTTTCTACTTTGCAGGCGGGGTGATTCATTTAACATGTAAGTCTGATAGTGCTATTCCTCTGCTCAAATCCTTTCAGTGTCTTTGAATCTTACTTAGAGTAAAATCAAAGTCCTTACTTTGGCCTATAAATTCCTGTGATCTTGACTCTGTGTTATTTTTGACATCATCTCTGACCACACCACCTTCTGCTGCCCTACCTTTCACTTAGTGCCTCAAGCAACACAGCTTCCCTGCAGTTTTGTGAGGAGCAACAGAGCCTACTGATAATGATTAAGATGACACATTGTCTGGGTTTGATCCCTGGCTGGACCTCTTACTAGTTTTGTTACCATGGAAAATTATTTAACTTCTCCGTGCATGAGTTTCCTTATCTATAAGTTGGATATAATAATAATATCTCCCTCCTAATGTTTTGGTAAGGATAAAATGAGTCAAACCATGCAAGCTATCGGTACATGTTAGCTATCATCACCATTATTATTATCATTACCACCAATACCACTACCATTATTATCCCCATCATCATCATATAAGCATCAACACCATCAACATTATTATCATTATCAGTTGCCATGACCATCATCACCACCACGAACACCATCATTATCATCAATCACCATCCTCATCACCATCATTATCATCAATCACCATCATCATCTGTCACTACATTACCATAAGGATTCTTCCCCTCCTCATTTTCTACAGTAGCAGCAGTATTGAGCATGTCAACACACTCTTACTTTAAAGAATCTGTATTTGCTCTTTGCTCTGCCTGAAATGGTTTTCTGACAGATGTTCATATGTCTTGTTTTTTGCACTTTCATCTCTCTGCTCAATGATTCAGAATTCCTTATATATTTTGGATTAACCCCTTATTTGACATATATTGCAAATATATTATCTCCTTCTGTAAACTTTCTCTCTCTTTCTGAAATATTTCCAATCCAAGGTTGGTTGAATATGCAATGTGGAACCTGTGGGAATGGATGGTCAACTATACTTGCCTAGATTGCTACAATAGATGTATATTGCCTCATCCAAGAAGGAATCCCATGTAACTCTTCATAAAAAAAATTTTGACTTTCTGTGCTCCTCTTATTTTTTCTTATTTTTCTTCACATCATATAAAACAACCGACAGATTCTGTCATTAATTACCTATTTTATTTTCTGTACTTGGGACTTTGTTTTACCACTGAATTTACAGAGTCTACAACAACGCTTTTCTTAAGAGGTACACAGCATTTACATTAAATATTTATTTAAATAATTTATGAATCCTCATTGTCTTTTATATGTTCTCATATTTTTAAAAAATTTATTTTGTTTTTATTTTAGTATTTCAATAGCTTTAGGGGTACAAGTGGTTTTTGATTACATGGATGAATTGTACAGTGGTAAAGTCTGAAATTTTAGTGCACCTGTCACCTGAGTGGTATACATTGTATCCAATATAGTTTTTCTCTTTCACCGCTCCCACCCTCTTCCCCTCTGAGTCTCCAATGCCTGTTATACCGTCCTGTATGCCTTTGTGTACCCACAGTTTAGCTCCCACTTATAAGTAAGATTACATGATATTTGGTTTTCCATTCCCGAGTTACTTCATTTAGAATAATGCCCTCCAGTTCCATCAAAGTTGCTGCATAAGACATTATTTTATTTTTCTTTTGTGGCTGAGTAGTATTCCACAGTGTGTATGTACTACATTTTCCTTATTCACTCCTTGGTTGATGGGCACTTAAGTTGACTCCCTATCTTTGGAACTGTGAATTGTGCTGCAATAAACATAGATGCGCGGGTGTCTTTTTGATATAATGACTTATTTTCCTTTGGGTATATGCCCGGTAGTGAAATTGCTGGATAAAATGGTAGATATACTTTTAGATTTTTGAGAAATCTCCATACTGTTTCCCATAAAGGTTGTATTAACTTACATTCCCACCAGCAGTGTGTAAGCTTTCCCTTTTCACCACATCTACACAAACAACTATTGTTTTTTGACTTTTTACTAATGCTCATTCTGGCTGGGGTAAGGTGGTATCTCACTATGGTTTTAATTTGCATTTCCCTGATGATTAATGATGTTGAGTATTTTTATTCAGATGTTATTTAGCCATTTGTATATCTTCCTTTGAGAAATGTCTATTTATGTCATTTGCCTACCTTTTAATGGAATTATTTGTTAAACTCTCTCATATTTCAATAGCCCTATGTGTCTGGCTGTATTCTGTGGGATTTCTCAATCTTGGTTTCAATTTGCTGATTTTCATTTCATGTAAGTTGTTTTGTCACATGTTTGTGCCACCTATTAAACTTTTTTTAAAGGCTATTTTTTATTTCTATTATTTCCTTTTGTTTCCATATTGGTCTATTTCTAACTCATAATTAATTTTTTCTCCATAGACTCCTGTTCTTGTTATACAGATGTTATTTGTTTCTTTATCTTGTTATAAATTTATTATATTTTCAATCCTTTTTGCTTGCTTAAACTTCATGTCACATTTTTCATTATTAACTTTTTTTGCTTTTGTTTGTTGTGAAATATTTGCTTATTTATTCAAATTGACACAATTTATTCAAATTGTACATATTTGTGGGGTAGAGAGTAATATTTTAATACAGGTATACAATGTTTAATGATAAAATCAAGTTAATTAGTATATCCATTATATCAAACATTTATCATTTCTTTGTGTCGGAAACATTCAGAATTCTCTTTAGCCATTTAAAAATATGAAATAATTTTTTGTTAACTGTAGTCCCCCTATAATGCTGTAGAACACTAGAACTTATTTCTCCAATCTAGGTGTACTTTTGTATTCATTAACTATCCTCCTTCTATCCTATCCTCACTCTACCCTTACCAGGCTCTAATAACCACAATTCTACTCACTATTTAGATGAGGTAAAATTATTTATCTTCTACATATGAATAAGAACATGCAATATTTATGTTTCTGCGCCTAACATTTTACTTAACATAATGTTTTTCAAGCTCATCCACATTGCCACAAGTGAGAGGATTTTAATATTTTTATGACTGAATATTATCCCATTGTGTATTTTTACCTTGAACACTTAGGTTGATTCCATACCTTGGGTATTATGAATAGTGCTGAGGTGAACGTAGGGGTGCAGATGTTTCTTTGTTATACTGATTTACTTTCCTTTGGATAAATATCAAATAGTGAGATTGTTGGATCACGTGATATTTCAATTTTTTGTTTTTTACCTTTATTTTTAGTTGACATGTAATAAGTGTACACAATTATGGAATACAGAGTGATATTTTAATACACATATATGATGTGTATTGATCAAATCAGGGTAATTAGCATATCTGTCACCTTGAACATTTATTTTATTGTGTTGTAAACATTCAACATTCTCTCTTATAGCTTTTAAAATATATATGCTAAATTAATTTTAACCATATATACCCTATAGTGTTACAGAACATTAGAATTTATTCCACCCATCTAGCTGTAATTTTGTATTCATTCACAAATCTCTCCTATCTTCTGAACTTGTCTACCCTTCCCAACCTCAAATAACCATAGTTTTACTTTCTACTTCTATGAGCTCAATTTTGTTTCAGTTTCTACATATGAGTGAGAATGTGCAGTATTTACTTTATTGTGTCTGACATTTCAATTAACATATTGTCCCCTGGGTTCATTCATGTTGCTGCGGATGACAGAATTTCATTATTTTTTACGGCTGAATACTATTCTATTGTTTATATATCCCACATTTTCATCATCCATTCATTTGTAGATGGATATTTCACTTCATTCCATACCTTCACTACTGTGAATAGATCTGCACTAAACATGGCACTGCAGGTATCTCTTTGATATTCTGATTTATCTTCCTTTGGAGAATGACCCAGTAGTGGCTTTCTGGATCATGTGGTAGTTCTACTTTTAGTTTTCACAGAAACGTCAATACTCTTTTTAATAATAGCTGTACTAATTTACACTTTTACCAATGGTGTATAAGAATTTTCTTTTTTCTGCATCGTTGCTAGCAGTTTTTTTTTATTATTATACTTTAAGTTCTAGGGTACATGTGCACAACGTGCAGGTTACATATGTATACACGTGCCATGTTGGTGTGCTGTGCCCAATAACTCGACATTTACATTAGGTATATCTCCTAATGCTATCCCTCCCCCCTCCCCCTGTCCCACAACAGGCCCCAGGGTGTTATGTTCCCCACCCCGTGACCAAGTGTTCTCATTGTTCAATTCCCACCTATGAGTGAGAACGTGCGGTGTTTGGTTTTTTTGTCCTTGCGATAGTTTGCTGAGAGTGATGGTTTCCAGCTTCATCCATGTCCCTACAAAGGACATGAACTCATCGTTTTTTATGGCTGCATAGTATTCCATGGTGTATGTGTGCCACATTTTCTTAATCCAGTCTATCATCGATGGACATTTGGGTTGGTTCCAAATAAGAATAGTGCTGCAATAAACATACATGTGCATGTGTCTTTATAGTAGCATGATTTATAATCCTTTGGGTATATACTCGGTAATGGGATGGCTGGGTCAAATGGTATTTCTAGTTCTAGATCCTTGAGGAATCGCCACACTGTCTTCCACAATGGTTGAACTAGTTTACAGTTCCACCAACAGTGTAAAAGTGTTCCTATTTCTCCACATCCTCTCCAGCACCTGTTGTTTCCTGACTTTTTAATGATCGCCATTCTAACTGGTGTGAGATGGTATCTCATTGTGGTTTTGATTTGCATTTCTCTGATGGCCAGTGATGATGAGCATTTTTTCATGTGTCTTTTGGCTGCATAAATGTCTTCTTTTGAGAAGCGTCTGTTCATATGCTTCACCCACTTTTTGATGGGGTTTTTTTTTCTTGTAAATTTGTTTGAGTTCATTGTAGATTCTGGATATTAGTCCTTTGCCAGATGAGTAGCTTGCAAAAATTTTCTCCCATTCTGTAGGTTGTCTGTTCACTCTGATGGTAGTTTCCTTTGCTGTGCAGAAGTTCTTTAGTTTAATTAGATCCCATTTGTCAATTTTGGCTTTTGTTGCCATTGCTTTTGGTGTTTTAGACATGAAGTCTTTGCACATGCCTATGTCCTGAATGGTATTGCCTAGGTTTTCTTCTAGTGTTTTTATGGTTTTAGGTCTAACATTTAAGTCTTTAATCCATCTTGAGTTAATTTTTGTAAAAGGTGTAAGGAAGGGATCCAGTTTCAGCTTTCTACATATGGCTAGCCAGTTTTCCCAGCACCATTTATTAAACAGGGGATCATTTCCCCATTTCTTGTTTTTGTCAGGTTTGTCAAAGATCAGATGGTTGTAGATGTGTGGTATTATTTCTGAGGTCTCTGTTCTGTTCCATTGGTCTATTTCTTATTTTATGTCTTTATAATAGCCGTTCTAACTGGGGTGAGATGGTATCTCCTTGTGGCTTTGATTTGCATTTACCTGATGAATAATAATGTTGAGCATTTTTTTCATATACCTGTTGGTCATTTTTATGTTTTCTTTTGAGAAATGTCTTTTCAGATGTTTTTGCCCATTTTAAAATTGGATTCTTTGTTTTGATTTTTCTTTCTGCTGTTCAGTTGTTTAAATTTTTTGTGTATTATGGATGTTAGTCCCTCTCTGGATGAATAGTTTGCAAATATATTTTCCCATTCTGCAGACTGTCTCTTCATTTTGTTGGTTGTTTTCTTTCCTGTGCAGAAGCTTTTTAGTTTGATATAGTCTAATTTGCCTATTCTTGTTTATATTGCCTATGCTTTTGAAGTCTTACACACAAAATCTTTGGCTAGACTAATGTCCTGAAGAGTTTCTCCTATGTTTTCTTATAGCTTTTTTAGTTTCATGTTTTAAATTTGCATTGTTAATCTGTTTTGAATTGACTTTTGCATATGGTTAAGAGATGAATCTAGTTTCATTTTTCTGCATATAGGTATCCAGTTTTCTCTGCATCATTTGTTAAAGAGACTGTCCTTTCCCCAGTGTATGTTCTTGGCAACTGTATAAAATATTGGTTTGCTGAAAATACATGGATTAATTTCTGAGTTCTCTGTTCTGCTCCTTAATCTATATAGCTGCTTTTATGCTAGTATGAGTGTTTTTGTTACTATAGCTTTGTAGTATATTTTAAAGTTAGGTAGTGTGATGCTAATATGATAGTGTTTTTGTTACTATAGCTTTGTAGCATATTTTAAAGTTAGGTAGTGTGATGCCTCCAGCTTTGTGATTTTTGCTCAGTATTTCTTTGGCTATTTAGACTTTTTGTGGTTACCCATGAATTTGATATTGTTTTCTCAATTTCTGTGAAGAATGCCATGGGTATTTGATAGAAACTGCACTGAATCTGTAGATTGTTTTAGGTAATATGGTCATTTTAACAATATTGATTTTCCAATCCATAAACTTGGGGTGTCTTTCCATTTTTTTGTGTCCTCTTCAATTTCTTTCATCATTGTTTTGTACTTTTTATTGTAGAGATATTTTACTTCCTTTGTTAAGTATATTCTTAGGTATTTTTTAGGAGTAGTTATTATAAATGGGATTGCTTTTTTGCTTTTTTTCTAGCTAGTTTGTTATTAGTGTGTGGAAGTAAACACCAAGTGGTTTTTGTATGTGTATTTTGCACCCTGAGTCTTTACTGAAATTTGTTCATCAGTTCTAAGACTATTTTGATGAAGTCTTTAGGTTTTTTAAAAATATATAAGATTATGTCATTTGCAAAGATGGACAATTTGACTTCCCCCTTTTCAATCTGGACGCACTTTGTTTCTTTTTCTTGCCTTATTGCTCTGTCTAGGACTCCAGTACTTTGTTAAATAAGAGTGGTAGAAGTGGGTATCCTTGTTCCAGTTCTTAGAGGAAGGCTTTCAACTTTTACCATTTGGTACGAGGTTAACCATGAGTTTTTAATATATAGCCTTATTGTATTGAGGAATGTTCCTTCTATACCTGATTTGTTTAGAGTTTTTATCCTGAAGGGATGTTGAATGTGGGAAAACAAACCGAGAAGACAAATGATTTCTCATCAGAAATAATGGGAACCAGAAGAAAATTAAATCACATCTTTAAAATTGTTAAAGAAAAAAGATAATTATAATATTCATAAATTTAAGGTTAAAATGTAAAATGCTATTTTAAAATTTATTTGAAAATGATTAACTATTTAGAACAAAAATAACAATTTATGATGGAATTTATAAGTGAAATATCATATATTAAGAGCACAAATATGGGAGGGCAGTAAATGTAATTATACTTTAAAAAGTCTCATGCATATTTGCGGGAGTGGTATCATAATAATTTGTGGTAGGCTGTGGTAAGAATGCAGCCGCAAAATAAAATGAAAAAATATAGCTAAAAAGCCAACATAGCAGAAAAAAATTCTCTATAAATTCAAAAAGAGGTTGGAAAGGAGAAACCAAAGAACAAAGAAAAGAAGGAGTAAATAAAAAACATATGGGAAGATGGTATATACACGCTCCAATAAGAGCAAGTTAAAAAGAAAAAGTATGAATTACATGCTATTTACAAGAGGCACACCTTACATATGAGAAAAAAGTTACAAATAAAAGGGAAGAGCAATAAGTATCACGCAAATATAAGTATAGACAAGACAATGCAGCTATTAAGACAAAGTAGAATTCTGGATCAGACAGATTATCAGCAATTAAAAAGAGCATTGCTTAATGATAAAAATGGTTAATTTATCAGCAAGATAGAACAAATCTTAATATACTTACATCTAATAATAGATTCAAAATATAGAAAATAAAAATTGTTAGAGCTAATGGGAGGGATGGACAAATCCATAATAACAGTTGTGGATTTAAGCCCATCTCCTTCAGTAATTGGTAAGACAAGTAGATAAAAATATGCATAGATATTGAAGATTAGAACCACACTATTCGCTAACCTGACTTAATGGATTTCACTCAACATCCACAGGACACACGTGGGATGTCAGAATGAAACATATGTTGTGCCATAAAACAAATCTTAAAGATAAAATTTACAATCCAGGCTCAAAATTGAGGATCTTGTACTTAGCATCAACTCCATATTTACATGAGAATAGACACCTCCATTCAAAAGGGTGAGAAACAGGAGGCACAATGCAGTCACTATTCCGTAGCAATTTTGAATCCAATTTGGCACATTATTGGTATCCTCCACTCTGGCAGCAGAGAATCTTCCTTTATTACAGCTCAATTATGTTCCCTAGGACTGGTTTCCTGATCCATAGTTATGTACAGATACAATAGTCCCCCCTTACCTTGTCCAAGGGGGATACAGTCCACGACTCCTGCAGTAGATGCCTGAAGCTGTGGATAGTACTGAACTCTATACATAGTAACAGATGGGTAGTGTATTCAATGTGGATATGCTGAACAAAGGGAGGGACGATTCATTTCCCAGGTGGGATAGAGCAGGATGGCTTGGAATTTCAACACTTTACTCCGGACAGGACACAATTTAAAACTTACAAATTGCTCATTTCTGGAATTTTCTATTTAATATTTTTATATTGCATTGACCGCGGGTAACTGCAACTGTGGAAAGTAAACCTGCAGGTAAGTGGAACCTACTATATTGGTTTCACTGTCAGGGTCTGTTTTCTGAGAACTCTCCCATTTATATAAAAAACAGAGATAATAGTCTTAATGAGCTTTTTGAAGATTGATAGAATATGTATTTCTGGCACACAGGAAGCACTTAATATTATCTATTACTAATAACTAGTATTTGAAAATATAAATTTGAGGCTGAATAATATCTTTTTACATAGTAATTGTTTAACCAATACTTTATTATAGGAGAAGTGGATTAATTTCTTTCTTTTCTTTTCTTTTCTTTTCTTTTCTTTTTTTTTTTGAGACCGAGGGAGTCTCGCTCTGTCCCCTAGGCTGGAGTGCAATGACGCAATCTCAGCTCACGGCAACCTCCGCCTCCTGGATTCAAGCGGTTCTCCTGCCTCAGCCCCTCAAGTAGCTGGGATTACAGGCACACGCCACCATGCCAGGCTAATTTTTGTACTTTTAGTAGAGATGGGGTTTCACCATGTTGGCCAGGCTGGTCTCAAACTCTTAACTTCATGATCTGCCCACCTCAGCCTCCCAAAGTCCTGGGATTATAGGCATGAGCCACCGCAACTGGCCTATTTTCATTTTTATGTATGATGCTATAATAAACAACAAATTTGTTCTGATTGTTCTCTGTTTGACCCTGGTTCTCTAGGTTTTTGTCTGCCTTTCCCTGTGCCCTAGGAGACTGACTTCTGTGGACTGATTCACCCAGTCTCCCCTCCCTTCTTGCTGCCAGTTGAGTTTGGTCCATGGAGACAGGGCAAGAAATGGAAGATTTTGAGCAAAGAGACGCTGGGGTATTTGCCTCCCTGTCTCTTCCTTGCATGGCCATAGTTCTGTCATAGTTTCTTTTTATTTCTGATGCCACAGTTTCTACCAAGTGGTTTATCTGCTTAGATCTAACTGTCACTGGACTCTGATAATGTTGCACCCTTCTTCTATGGCACACCTTTTAAGTCTAGGGCTGAGAAAGCTTCCTGCTATTGCTAGCGTGTTAGTGCTCTGCCACATTTTATTGGTTTCCTTACCTATAACCACTGCAGATAACCCTTTTTAAATATTTTTTTAGTTAAAAATCTATTGAGTGAGCTATCTCTTCTCAGCTGGTAACTGGACAAAGTATTATACTTGCCACTTTATATCACTTTATGCTCATGTAGTTCTTTCCAAGAAGAGAAATTACAGAGTCAAATTGTAGAAATATTTAAAAATCTTTGGCACACATAAACAGTATCCATATAATTTATACCATCTTTTAGATGAGTTTTAACACCAAATGATAGAAATCTCAGTTTCATACAGATTTGGTGGGCTGGAACCAAATACTTGCCTGATAGGCTGTCCCCTCGTCTTTCCTAGCTGTTCTGGGAAAGGCAGTTCCTGGTAAGAACTCTCCCTACGGCCCCTTTCATCTCACTGTTCCTCAGGGCATAGATAAGTGGGTTGAGCAGTGGGGTTCCCAATGTGTACACCAGTGAGATGAACCGATCTTGCTTGGGGTTGTAGCTGGAGCTGGGGCACAGGTACATGAAGGCACAGCAGCCATACTGCAGCAGCACCACAGTGAGGTGGGAAGAGCAGGTGGAGAAGGCCCGGTGGCGGCCAGCAGCCGAGTGGATCTTGAGCAGAGCAGCCACTATGAAGGTGTAGGAGGTGGTGATGAGGAAGAAAGGCACAGCAATGGCTAGTATGGCTGCCACCAGCACTGACTGCTCATGAATGTGACTCTGAGCACAAACAACATGCATGACTGGTGGCACATCACAAAAGAAGTGCTCAATGCCCTGAGCCTGGCAGAATGGCAGAGAGAAGATGAAGGCCACCAGTTGTAAGGACAGGAACAGACCACTGATGACTGATGCCACAACCAAGTGGACACAAAGAGTCAATGTCATGAGGAGAGGGTACTGCAACGGGTGGCAAATGGCCACATAGCGGTCATAGGCCATGGCAGCCAAGAGGAAGCAATCAGCACTGCCCAGTGCAATGAAGAAAGCCATCTGGGTGGCACAGCCCAGGAGAGTGATGGTCTTCTCTGACTGTAGGGTGTTGGCCAGGATATGGGGCACCACCACTGCAGTGTAGCATATTTCAATCCCAGAAAGGCTGCCCAGGAAATAGTACATGGATGTGCATAGACAGGTTTCTGTGTGAATGGACACCACAATGAGAATGTTCCCAGTGATGATCAAACCATAAACCAGGCTGACCCCAAGGAAGGACAGAATATGCAGTTCTGGGCAGGAGGGATAGGCCAGGAACACAAATTCCATCAACACTGAGTGATTTTCCCAGGTAATTGAGCTAACAGTATTTCTCTGTGGAGAGCTACAAGTACAGAAGGAAGAATCAGACTGAAGATAAATTAAGTTACACTCTGAGCCATGAATCTAATGTAATCAGCACTGGAGTTAGAAACTGGAAGGATCAAGACTAGTTCTTTTTCTTTTCTCCACTTTTACCAAGTTTCTCCACATTAATATCTACACCTCAATTTCTACCTGCCAAGAGTTGGGCCAAACTATGTAAGATACTATTGAAGAAAAATGGCAGAGGAAGTGGGTGGGATTCAGGAGCTATTTTCAGAAAGAGTGGAATGAAAATTCAATTCTTTCAGCAAATTCACAAGAAAGTGTCAAGGAATTCTTGGGGCTAGAAATCATTAAGGTAAGGGAGATAAGCCATTTATTCATTCACTTATTCATTCACATATTTATTAGGTTGGTGCAAAAGTAGTTGCGGTTTTGCCATTTTGATGGCAAAAACTGCAATTACTTTTGCACCAACCTAATATTTACACTCAATATCTCCTGGGGTATTGAATAAGTGATATGTCAATGTAACTCTCAAAACTAGTGATGGGAAGTGAAGAAAGAAAAAAAATTACCCATGAAGCAAAGGGCTAACAGAGGCCTGAGTATGACAGTGTCAGGGATACGCCTCAGAAAGCAAAGCCCTGTCTACTATTGGTTTTTCTATCCTTATCTGACCAGAAGTATAAGGCTTGAAGGAAACAAGGTGTTTTATCATATGTTTCCTCCTGGCGTGGGTGGAGGTATGAGAAAATATGTGATCCCAAGATGTTGGAAATCTAAGAAGCCTTCCTGTGAATTTGGGCATGATTATGAAAGTCTAAGCCCATCTATTTTTCATATTTCTCAGAAGCTAATGTGAAATCTGGGAGAAGCCATATCTTTTCCACAAAAACCTTTTAATAAACAGACGTAATTTGCAAAGGGCATCCATTCCACTTCTTTTCCCAGACCAACTCATATTAAATAAGGTGGAAAAGACGTAATGTGTGGCCTTGTTTCAACGTGCCAAATTTTAATATTTCCTGTCATTGAATATGAGATTTGAAGAGAAATCTCTACCCAGAGGCACCACTTCCAGTAAAAATTATTCACACAAACCCACCTCAGTGTCACAAGCATGGGGAAAAATATGAGTAGGCAGCTACAAATATTAAGAGCACCTAGGGCAGAAATGGCTCTCTGCTGTTTTTCCAACAGCTAACAAGTGGTATCTATTTCAGTTGGTCTCTTTTCCTGAGCTGAACTTCAATAATGCTTTGAGTGGTTTCTAATGCCACTTAGCATATTGCACATTATACTATATCATGTGGAGGAGGGGCAGTGTATCAATGTGAAATCAGCAGTGAAGGGAAGTGATGTGGTTTGAATAATTCCAGCTCCTGGCTTCATGATGTTAGGTAATATATAATTTCTCTAAGCCTCAATTTCTGTATTTGAAAAATGGGAATAATAATTATACTTAGACAAAAGAATTGCTGTAAGTTTAAATGCAATAGTAATGTAAGATATCACAATGAACTGTCCATAGTAATGGCAACCTAATAAAAGATAATCATCATTATTATTTATAAATTCAAGGGCAGCCATTCTGCTTTATTTACATTTTGATCATCCCATATAAGCACGCCTAATGTTGTGCAAATTTTAGACACTCAATAATTATATGTCGAATGGATAATACAGCTTGAAAATGTTATTTATACATTTTCTTCATTTTCTACTTTCACTTTGCCGTGCAATGAAAGATTTAAGATTATTCATAATCAAATCACTTGTTTAGGAGTCCTTATATAAAACAACTTCGTATCTAAGATTTGGGCTGCACTGTGGAAATAATTCTATCATTCAAGAACATAGCATATGGAAGTCTACAACAGGCACACATCTAAAGGCTAGTCTACCATCTATATTATTATACAGAGACAGTTTGAAATCTGTGTCACAATGACAACTTCTGAGAATTTTATTGTAGTCTATTACATTCATATCATCTTTTCAAAAAGTTATATTTTGTTTTTAATTGACAATAATAATTGTACAATGTGATGCTTTGATACATATACACATTGTGGAATGATCAAATCAGGCTAATCAGCATATCCGTCATGTCATATAGTTATCATCTGAATACTGCTCTCTATAATATTTGTAATCTGAACACTCCACCTATAATAAAATATTTAAAATATTTACATCAGAGCTATTATAAGTCATAAATTCTAACTGCAAGAAGGGACCTCAAAAATGGCCAATTTGATCCCCAGTTATTAGATACTTGAATTTCCAATACAGTGTGTAGACACTGGGTCACCTTCAATGCCCAGGGAATCCCATTATCTCCTGGTTTGCTTGCTCTGCTGTGGAAAGACTGGATTCTCTGAAAGTCATTTCTGTAATAAACTGAAGCCTGCCTCTGTGCAACTTCTAAATGTTCCTTTGTTCTACACAATATGGCCATTTTTTTCTTTCTTTCTCTCTTTCTCTCCCTTTCTTTCTTTCTTTCTTTCTTTCTTTCTTTCTTTCTTTCTTTCTTTCTTTCTTTCTTTCTTTCTCTCTTTCTCTCTTTTTCTTTTTTTAGATGGAGTTTCACTCTTGTTGTCCAGGCTGGAGTTCAATGGCATGATTTCAGCTCACTGCAACCTCTGCCTCCTGAGTTCAAGCGATTTTCCTGCCTCAGCCTTCCAAGTAGCTGGGATTACAGGTGCCTGTTACCAGGCCCAGCTAATTTTTTGTATTTTTAGTAGAGGTGGGCTTTCACCATGTTGACCAGGCTGGTCTTGAACTTCTGACCTCAGGTGATCCACCCGCCAAAGTGCTGGGATTACAGGCGTGAGCCACCGCACCCGGCCCAATATGGCCGTTTCTACTCAAAACACCAGATGCTAAAGCGCTGTTATCCTGTAGCCCTGTTTTTTTTTCTTCCTAATTTCCTTTTGCTATTTCTCATATGACATGGTTTTGATGTGTCTCACAATTTAAGCTCTGGAAGTGTTCTCATTTAAAATATCTTTTAAAAAATTGTGCAGCCTGTGACAGATCACAGGAATGGTTACATTAAATAGATCTAGACAGATAAAATAGTGGAGTTCATGGTTCCAAGACAGTGAAAATTGTTTTATCAACACATCCATCAACTTGCCATTCCAAGTTGTTACTAAATATGTTGCATAGGACAGACGCAAGATAAGAACACTTCATCATCCTCAGAAACCTCCCCCAAGATCTCAGTGTTTCCAGGTCAAACTTCACATCATTCTCTTACTTTCCTTCTTTCCTTTCCAGGTAGCCTTCCTCAAGTTGGCAAGAATGTCCTGAGATACATTATTTCTGTTCATTCTGGAAATCCAGATACTCTAGGCTAGAACAACTCTACAAATGTCTAGTAAGAATTGTGTAAAAAAGGGGTTTAGTGGATTTGTCATTCAACAAACCTGAGCTAGATTCTCAGTGTACTATTAATAACATAATCCCCTGGAAGATCATCTCACGTTAATTTCTGTTTCCTCATGTTTAAAAGATGCAAATAATAATACTTACATAATGGAGTTGTGATGAAATTAGGTGAGATAAAGTATTTATAAAACACTTAGTTTAATGTATGAAACCTATTTAGTTGCATAATAAATGTTAATTCTTCCCTGCTTTCATTGTATCTATTAAGGGTATGATAATAATATCTTCCTTACAGCAGAAGATTAAATGGGGTACCATATGAATAAAAAGTTTTTATTAACCCTTAAACCTTGTAGCAATTTATATTTATTAAATCCCTCAAATTTCTTTGACCGAGATTAGTTATTACCATTCTAACCAGAAAAATTGGGCTTCCCAGTGAATTTCAGAGAAAACACTGTAAGTCATAGGCTGAACTAGTTCTGAAATCCTGTAGTCTTTATTTGTAAAGCCACTATTTTACTTTTCTAGCTCAGTGTCAGTCAGTGTTGGAACACTGCAAATCTAGAAGAAGGTAAGAGATTCTCTTACCTTAAACTTGGAAAAGGAGAGAGATACACTGAGCCAGCCTCCGCTGGGATATTCATAAAAGAGAGGACCTAGCAGTGATGTCTGACTGCTCTGGTAGATCAAGAACGGAGGGTCATGAGCCTGGAAAGCCTGCCCAGTGGGACTGAGCCTTATGTAACCTCCCAAACAAAAGCCATGTAGCAAGTCAATTGCTTTGTAATCTAGGGTCTTGTCTCATAAGTTCCATCTCCCAGAAGAAGGTAGCTTAGTGATTGTTGACCTCGTCTCCTGTTACCAGATAATTAGTCCAAACTAAAACTGTGTCTCCACTTGAAATCCCCTGTCACATGGAGGGTCTAGAGTATGCTTGTCATTCAACCACTTAGTAACATTCTCAGTTCCCAAAATAATTTCCTGAAAAACACCAAGTTCCCTAATCAAGGCCATTTGAGCCTTCTGTTTCAAGTCTATTCCTACCATGTCTGTTGTAATAATAATTCCCAAATTATTTTTGCCCCAGAGAACTGAGACTTTATTTTTATCTTTCTGCTATGGGTCCTAGCATACTGTTATGTTATTAATAGTGCTTCAATTAATAATTATCACGTTGTTTGCCTGATCATAATAAATTAACATTTATTATGCAATTAAATAGGTTTCATACATTAAACTTTCCATGATATCCTTCTTTGTTAATTTTCTTTGAGCAGAGACATTCCCATAGATCTTAGCAAATTAGTTTAATTCCTTTGAAAAAATGTTGGTTGGTCATGTGTAAAAATATTTATATTTTTATAACATATATTTACATGTTTGTGTGTGAATATATGTATCCAAGTGCCCACTTATTCACAGGCAATTCTGAAGAGGTCTAGAGTAACTAAGGTAGTTCTTTGGGGTGTGTGTGTGTGTGTGTGTGTGTGTGTGTCTGTGTGTCTGTGGAGAGGACGGCCAGATCCCAACAGCAATCAGGGCTGGGATATCTGAGAGAGTCAGGGACTCCTGAGGTACCTTTGGTGCCAATAAATGGAGGAGAGAGGGAATGGGAGGGGTAGGAAGCAAAATGTATTAACTATTTGCTATGTGCCAAGCAGTATAATAATCATAACAGCTAAGCCTAATATTGCACTTACTAAATTCCACACAATTTGCACATATTAAGTAATTTCATTTGTGCAACACCACTAAGAAGGAGATACTATTGGTATCACATGTATACATTATATCATTTAATCCTTGTAATAAGCCTGCGAAGTTATTGTTATTCCTGTTGTCCAAGAATAGATGCGGCAAGTAGCTGAAATGAAGTTTGCCTGATCCTAAGGTATATTCTTCCCTCTACATCAAACTTCACCCAGCCACATTGCCCTCAGTTGCTTTTTAAAAAATTTTTCATAGCTTTTTATTGTGAAATAAAACAAAAACACAGAAGAAAGACCACACAAAACAACCATATAGCTTAGTGAAATATTATCAGTCAAATCCCTTTGTAATCACCACTCAGATCAAGGGAAAGAACTTTGACAGCCACTCCAGAAATCTCTCCACATGCTCTGACTTAAAAATAGTTAGAACTTCCTCCCTCTCCATTGTAGTTATCCTCATAATGTTACTCCATTTTTGACTAGTGGGAACCTCTTCAAGTTGGCTGAGTCTTTCTGACACGACTCTGTATTCTTTAAACAATTTTTTTATGTCAGTAGCTTTTGGGGTACTAAAAAACCTCAATTGCTTTTCAGTGAAAGTGAAATCTGGCATATATTATAATACAAGGATGAACCATAATATAGGTTACAAAGCCAATATAAGGTTTAATCTCTGCTAACTTCTAGTCTCCTCTTTTCTCCAGTGACTCTGTCCTTCATTCAGTCCCTTCTTCTCACCATGCTTCCTCTCACCACCAGACCTTTGCACAGACTGTTGACTCTGCTTGGAATGTCTTTTCTCTTTTCTTTTTACTTAATAAGCTTCTAATTATCCTTTGTCCCAGTTGTATGACAACTTCCTCAGGGAAGATTTTTTGACCTTGGTTATGTCAGGGTCAAATGCATCTTTTGGAATGTTCCTTTTGGAATCTCACTGACCTCTCAATCATTGCAACCATTACAATTTTACTTATATTTGTTTACTATTTGATTAACTTCTATCTCTCCTATTCATGTATAAGCGCAGTGACGGCAACAACCAAGTCTCCTTTTTCTCAACTTGTATGCATATAATATGAGTAACAAAAGGCTAGACTAGGATTTCCCAGCCTGGGCACTGCTGACCTTTTAGGCTGGATATTTGTTTCACAACATCCTGGTTTCTACCCACTAGATGAAACATACATGCATTGTAACCATACTCTGGTTGTATTAATAAAAAATATCTCCAGATGTTGCCAAATGGTCCCCTGGCAGTCAAAATTGGCCCAGTTAAGAACCATTGGAACAGACATATAGAAGATACTCAAAACTATTTATTAAATGATTAAATAAATAACTCAAGATTCACATCTGGAAGTGTATGGAAATGAATCTTTCAACTCAAGATAAAGATGGGGAGGTTGGCAGGTGAGCATAGAATTGTAGATGTCTAGACTGTATATTTGTCTTTTTCTCATCCATCCATGGTACACTGATGCATTTTCTTTACTGTTGTAGTGATACTTCAGTTAAATGGATGAAGAATAGTAATCTAATTTAGAATGAGAGCATTCTTCTTGATCAATTCTAATGAAACACCAACAATTCCTCCTTACCAACTATCCATTTTGAATAATATAGATTAACTTCTGTATGTATGCAAATTTTCTTCAGAAGCAAGTTGTCTATGTGGGTTCTTGCTTAGGGGAATAAGGGAACAAGTGAAGGGTCCTACAACTCGTGCTATGAAATTAGATACAACTGAGGGGGTAACATAGAGGACGTATGACTGTGAAAATATATAGGGCTTCTTGTACTTTCTTCAATAATTTCTCCTATAATCTTCTACCTCTATAAGTAGAACATGGAATTATATGACAATAATGATGTTAAAATCTTGGTCTGCTACTTCCTGACTTCAAGTAAGAGTCTAAAGAATAGACTATGGAACAGGAAATCGTGTAGCATGATTTCAAAAGTTATTTTCAGGTGACTGGGTAGGGAGAATGCTGTTACAATGCATGTATGTGTGAAGAATATGACATATTTAATGATTCTGAATACTATGTGATGAAAACATTTTTATTCTCTAAGCTACATTAGAGAGTGAGAGAGTGGTACTGCAAGTTTTTGTCTGGTAGATATGTGTATTAGTTTGCTAGAGCTGCCATAAAAGTACCACAGACTGGGTGGCTTCTGTGACAGAAATTTATTGTTTTACAATTCTGGAGGCTTGAAGTCCGAGATCAAGGTGTTGTCAGAGTTGCTTTCTTTTGTGATTTTTCTCTTTGGCTTGCCAATGGCTGTCTTTTCCCGGTGTCTTCACATGGTCTTCCTTGTGTACATGTCTCTGTCCTTCTTAGAAGGGCACCAGTCATATTGGATTAGGGTCCACCCTAATGATCTCATTTTAACTTAATTACTTCTTTAAGTAATTTAAGTAATTTAACTTAATTACTTCTTTAAGTAATTAAGTTAAAATGTATTGTCTCCAAATAGTCACGTTCCGAGGTATCAGAGGTTAGGACTTCAACATATAAAGTTTTTTTGGGTGTATGTATTAAAATGGGATAAAATATATCACACCAAGGAAGTCTCTTTAGTTTTTCCCCATCAAGTAGTCCATTTGTCCAGAAGTCTCTCCATCTTTCATGCTATGCAGTTACAGATGCACAAATAATCACATGTATTCACACACACGCATGCATATAAAATACCAGACCACAGCAAAATAGAAAGTTATAAGTCTTTGGTTGGCCTTGGCATGGGTTGGCATCCTGGTTCAACCACTGTCCTTCTATAAGAGCAGGGGTGTGTTGTTAGAGCCATTGTCCCCAGTCTCACAAATACTCACATTCCCATTCATCATCTCTCTGGGGGAAAATATTTGGAGAAGTAGATGAAGGAAACTCAGGTATCCAATCAACCAAAAATGGTGTTCTAATGTTCCATATTTTACAAAGTAACTATCGGGAAATACTATAGTAATGGACCAAGTACTTCATGAAATGAGTAATTTGCTGCTGCAATAATTCTACTCCCCTCCACCTTGATATACAGACTGTATTTAATTAATCCCAAAGGGAACTTGAGCAAAAGGAGTTGAGGATACAGGCATACTTTCCTTCAAGAAAGCCGATATTTTAAGAAACCAAAATTTAAAAAAAGAAAATTAAAAACTCCAAAAATGTGAGTGGGGTTCACAATTATCAAAGCAGACAGCCTCCTTGTGGAATTCCTGTAAATGCCATCATCTTAGGGACTTTCATGTCCTAGTTTAGACAAGCAAAAAACAAAACAAAACGAGGACTTCACAGAGAGAAGCTTCATGGGGGGTGGATCACTGGGGATGTGACCTCAACAGCTGAAACCTAAGGATGATTAACAGTGATTCAGAAAGATCAGTAAAAATGAAGATAAATAAGCTCTGGTATCTTAATGTGGGTCAATGTAAAAAGAAGATTTGATTTGCAAATGTTTGACATATAAACTTTGGATTGTTATGTAGATACATAATATTATTACATAATACATAAAGTCACTGAAAATTTGTTTTAAATGGATATTTTTACGCTATTGGCAGAAGATCTGAGTGGGTGGTATTGAGTATGGGACCTCGGGGTAGCAATTCCCCCAAATGTAATTGGGGGAATTATAATTTAAAAGACAATTATATTATTGTAAATGAACCCTGTAGTACACCCAGGCATAAATTATGTTTGTATTGGGTATGGGACCTTGGGGTAGCAAATGCTGCCAGTGATGCTGATGCAGGGAGCCAGCTGACAGCCCATAGAGAGATACTACTTTATAAAAACTCAGGTTTGAACCAGAATTTGTTTGTTCATCCTACTATTTTGAATTTGGCAGTCTGTAAAGCTTTCCTATAGCACAAATCCCTGTCTCTATTCTAAGAAATCACTATCCAGAAGGGATAATAAAGTTAGTACTTTACTAGGACAAGCATGGGCAAGTTCATTTATGTATTCCATACCTACATGGCACATAGGCACATTAACACAAAGTATGGGGCAAATTCAAAAGACAATTACATTATTGTAGGTGAACTCTGTAGTACACCCAGGCATAAATTATGTTTGTTAAGTCAGCATTCCATAAAATTCTCTGTTCACATTTTTGTGTCATGTGTAAGGCCGAGATTCTTAGCTATTTCTCTCATTTCTCCTCTTTAGATATCTGTATCTATATATATCTCATCTACAAGTAGATTATCTGTGTGTGTGTGTATATATACACACATATATATAGTGGGAGCTCACATGTGCTTGTGTGCACATTTTTATGTGAATGATTGGAGAGTTTCTTTTTTTGTCAGTTGTGTCTCTTTTTTATTGTAGTTTAAGTTCCGGGATACATGTGCAGAAAGTGCAGGTTTGTTACATAGGTATACATGTGCCATCGTGGTTTGCTGCACCCATCAACCCATCATCTCCATTAGGTACTTCTCCTAATGCTATCCCTCTCCTAGGCCCACACCCCTCTGACAGGCTCTGGTGATATTCCCCTCCCTGTGTCCATGTGTTCTCATTGTTCAACTCCCACCTATGAGGGAGAACACATAATGTTTGGATTTTTGTTCCTCTGTTAGTTTGCTGACAATGATGGTTTCCAGGTTCATCCATGTCCCTGCAAAGGACATGAACTCATTCTTTTTTTATGGCTGCATAGTATTCCATGGTATATATGTGCCACATTTTCTTTATCCAGTCTAACATTGGTGGGCATTTGAGTTTTTCAAATCTTTGCTATTGTAAATAGTACTGCAATAAACATATGTGTGCAAGTGTCTTTATAGTAGAATGATTTATAATCCTTTGGGTATATACCCAGTAATGAGATTGCTGAGTCAAATGGTATTTCTGGTTCTAGATCCTTGAGGAATCGCCACACTGTATTCCATAATGTTTGAACTAATTTACACTCCCTCCAACAGTATAAAAGTGTTCCTATTTCTCCACATCCTCTCCAGCATCTGTTGTTTCCCAACTTTTTAATGATCACCATTCTAACTGGCATGAGATAGTATCTCATTGTGGTTTTGATTTGCATTTCTCTAACGACCAGTGATGATGAGCTTTTTTCATATGTTTGTTGGCCACATAAATGTCTTCTTTTCAGAAGTATCTATTCATATCCTTTGCCCACATTTTGATGGGGTCATTTGTTTTTTTCTTGTAAACTTGTTTAAGTTCCTTGTATATTCTGGGTATTAGCCCTTTGTCAGATGGATAGATTGCAAAAATCTCCAATTCTGTAGGTTGCCTTTTCACTCTGATGATAGTTTCTTTTGCCATGTAGAAGCTCTTTAGTTTAATTAGATCCCATTTGTCAATTTTGGCTTTTGTTGCCATTGCTTTTGGTGTTTTAGTAATAAAGTCTCTGCCCATGCCTATGTCCTAAATGGTATTGCCTAGGTTTTCTTCTAGGTTTTTTTATGGTTTTAGTTTAAGTCTTTAATCCATCTTGAGTTAATTTTTGTATAAGGTTTAAGGAAGGGGTTCAGTTTCAGTTTTCTGCGTATGGCTAGCCAGTTTTCCCAACATCATTTGTTAAACAGAGAATCCTTTCCCCATTGCTTTTGTCAGGTTTGTCAAAGATCAGATGGTTGTAGATGTGTGGTGTTATTTCTGAGGTCTCTGTTCTGTTCCATTGGTCTATATAGCTGAGTAGGTATCAGTACCATACTGTTTTGGTTACTGTAGCCTTGTAGTATAGTTTGAAGTCAGGTAGCATGATGCCTCTAGCTTTGTTCTTTTGCTTAGGATTGTCTTGGCTATACAGGCTCTTATTTGAAATTTCCATATGAAATTTAAAGTAGTTTATTTCTAATTCTGTGAAGAAAGTCAATGGCAGATTGATGGGAATAGTATTGAATCTGTAAATTACTTTGGGCAGTATGGCCATTTTTTTGATATTGATTATTCCTATCCATGAGCATGGAATGTTTTCCATTTGTTTGCGTCCTTAGTTCCTTGAGCAGTGGTTTGTAGTTCTCCTTGAAGAGGTCCTTCACATCCCTTGTTAGTTGCATTCCCAGGTATTTTATTCTCTTTGTGAATGGGAGTTCACTCATGATTTGGCACTCTGTTAGTCCATTATTGGTGTATATAAATGCATGTGATTTTTGCACATTGATTTTGTATCCTGAGACTTTGCTGAAGTTGCTTATCAGCTTAAGGAGTTTTTGGGCTTAGACAATGGGGTTTTCTAAATATACAATTGTGTCATCTGCAAACAGTGACAATTTGACTTCCTCTCTTTTTATTTGAATACCCTTTATTGCTTTCTCTTGCCTGAACGCCCTGGTCAGAACTTCCAATACTATGTTGAATAGGAGTGGTGAGAGAGGGCATCCTTGTCTCGTGCTGGTTTTCAAAGGGAATGCTTCCAGCTTTTGCCCATTTAGTATGATATTGGCTGTGAGTTTGTCATAAATACCTCTTATTATTTTGAGATATGTTCCATCAATACCTAGATTATTGAGTGTTTTTAGCATGAAGGGGTGTTAAATTTTATCAAAGGCCTTTTTTGCATTTATTGAGATAATCATGTGGTTTTTGTCATTGGTTATGTTTATGCAATCGACTAAGTTTATTGATTTGTGTATGTCGAACCAGACTTGCATCCCAGAGATGAAGCTGACTTGATCATGGTGGATAAGGCTTTTGATGTGCTGCTGGATTTGTTTTGCCAGTATTTTATTGAGGGTTTTCACATAGATGTTCATCAGGGATATTGGCCTGAAATTTGTTTTCAAATTTCAACAACAAGATTGAAATCTTGTTGTGTCTCTGATAGGTTTTGGTATCACAATGATGCTGTCCTCATAAAATAAGTTAGGGAGGAGTCCCTGTTTTTCTATTGCTTGGAATAGTTTAAGAAGGAATGGTACCAGCTCCTCTTTGTACCTCTGGTAGAATTTGGCTGTGAATCTGTCTGGTCTTCGGCTTTTTTTGTTTGGTAGGCTGTTAATTAATGCCTCAATTTCAGAGCCTGTTATTGGTCTATTCAGAGATTCAACTTCTTCCTGGTTTAGTCTTGGGAGGGTATATGTGTCCAGGAATTTATCCATTTCTTCTAGATTTTCTAGTTTACTTGCAAATAGGTGTTTATAGTATTTTCTGATAGTAGTTTGTATTTCTGTGGGATCAGTGGTAATATCCCCTTTATCATTTTTTATTGTGTCTATTTGATTCTTCTCTCTTTTCTTCTTTATTAGCCTGGCTAGTGGTCTATTTTGTTGATCTTTTCAAAAAACCAGCTCCTGGATTTATTGATTTTTTTTGAAGGGTCTTTTGTGTCTCTATTTCCTTCTGTTTTGCTCTGATCTTAGTTATTTCTTGCCTTCTGCTAGCTTTTGAATGTGTTTGCTCTTGCTTCTCTAGTTCTTTTAATTGTGATGTTAGGGTGTCAATTTTAGATCTTTCTCACTGTCTCATGTAAGCATTTAGTGCTATAAATTTCCCTGTAACCATTGCTTTAGCTGTGTCCCAGCGATTCTAGTACCATGTGTCTTTGTTCTCACTGGTTTCAAAGAACTTATTTATTTCTGCCTTAACTTCGTTATTTACCCAGTAGTCATTCAGGAGCAGGTTCAGTTTCCATGAAGTTGTGCGGTTTTGAGTGAGTGTCTTAATCCTGAGTTCCAATTTGATTGCACTGTGGTCTGAGAGACTGTTTGTAATGATTTCTGTTCTTTTACATTTGCTGAGGAGTGTTTTGCTTCCAATTATGAGGTCAATTTTAGAATAAGTGCTATGTGGTGCTAAGAAGAATGTATATTGTGTTGATTTAGGGTGGAGTGTTCTGTAGATGTCTATTAGGTCCACTTGGTCCAGGCTGAGTTCAAGCCTGAATATCCTCATTAATTTTCTGTCTTGTTAATCTGTCTAATATTGACAGTGGGGTGTTAAAGTCTCCCACTATTATTGTGTGGGAGTCTAAGTCTCTTTGTATGTCTCTAAGAACTTACTTTATGAATCTGGGTGCTCCTGTATTGGGTGCATATATGGGTGCATATATATTTAGGATAGTTAGCTCTTCTTGTTGCATTGATCCCTTTACCATTATGTAATGCCCTTCTTTGTCTTTTTTGATCTCTGTTGGTTTAAAGTCTGTTTTACCAGAGACTAGGATTGCAACCCCTGCTTTTTTTTGCTTTCCATTTGCTTGGTAAATGTTCCTCCATCCCTTTATTTTGAGCCTATGTGTGTCTCTGCATGTGAGATAGGTCTCCTGAATACAACAAACCAATGGGTCTTGACTCTTTATCCAATTTGCCAGTCTGTGCCTTTTAATTGGGGCATTTAGCTCCTTTTCATTTAAGTTTAGTTTTGTTATGTGTGAATTTGATCCCGTCATCATGATGCTAACTGGTTATTTTGCACATAAGTTGATGTAGTTCCTTCACATATGTTTTTGCAGTGGCTGGTATCAGTTTTTCCTTTCCATATTTAGTGCTTCCTTCAGAAGCTCTTGTAAGGCAGGCCTGGTGGTGACAAAATCCCTCAGCATTTGCTTGTCTGTAAAGGATTTTATTTTTTCTTCACTTATGAAGCTTAGTTTGGCTGGATATGAAATTCTGGGTTGAATTTTTTTTTTCTTTAAGAATGTTGAATATTGGCCCCCCACTCTCTTCTTTGTAAGGTTTCTGCAGAAAGACCCACTGTTAGTTTGATGGGCTTCCCTTTGTGGGTAACCTGACCTTTCTCTCTGGCTGCCCTTAACATTTTTTCCTTCATTTCAACCTTGGTGAATCTGATGATTATGTGTCTTGGGGTTGCTCTTCTCTTGGATTACCTTAGTGGTATTCTCTGTATTTCCTGAATTTGAATGTTTGCCTGTCTTGCTAGGTTGGGGAAGTTCTCCTGGATAATATCCTGAAATATGTTTCCCAACTTGGTTCCATTCTCCCCGTCACTTTCAGTCACACCTATCAATCATAGGTTTTGTCTTTTCGCATAGTCCCATATTTCTTGGTGGCTTTGTTCATTCCTTTTTATTCTTTTTTCTCTAATCTTGTCTTCATGCTTTATTTCATTAAGTTGATCTTCAATCTCTGATATTCTTCTTTCTGCTTGATTGATGTTGCTATTGTTACTAGTGTATGCTTCATGAAGTTCTCTTGCTGTGTTTTTCAGCTCCATCAGGTCATTTATGTTCTTCTCTAAACTGATTATTCTAGTTAGCAGTTCCTGTAACCTTTTATCAAGGTTCTTAGCTTCCTTGCATTGGGTTAGAACATGCTCCTTTAGCTTGGAGTAGTTTGTTATTACTCATCTTCTGAAGCCTACTTCTGTGAGTTCATCAAACTCATTCTCTGTCCAGTTTTGTTTCCTTGCTGGTGAGGAATTGTGATCCTTTGAAGGAGAAGAGGCATTCTGGTTTTCGGAATTTTCAGCATTTATGCACTGGTTTTTCCTCATCTTCCTTGATTTATCTGCCTTTGACCTTTGATGCTAATGACTTTTGGATGGGGTTTTTGCATGAGCATCCTTTTAGTTGATGTTGATATTATTAGTTTTTCTTTGTTAGTTTTTTTCTCACTGTCAGGCCCCTTTACTGCAGGTCTGCTGGAGTTTCCTGGAGGTCCACTCCAAACCTGTTTGCCTGGGTATCACAAGTAGAGGCTGCAAAACAGCAAAAATAGCTGCCTGCTCTTTCCTCTGGAAGCTTCATCCCAGAGGGGCACCTGCCAGATGCCAGCTGAAGCTCTCCTGTATGAGGTGTCTGTCAACCTCTGCTGGAAAGTGTCTCTCAGTCAGGAGGTATGGGGGTCAGGGACCCACCTGAGGAGGCAGTCTGTCCCTTGGCAGAGTTTGAGCACTGTGCTGGGAGATCCACTGCTCTCTTCAGAGCTGGCAGGCAAGAATGTTTAAGTCTGCTGATGCTGCACCCACAGCTGCCCCTTTCCCCAAGTGCTCTGTCCCAGGGAGATGGAAGTTTTATCTATAAGCCCCTCACTGGGTCTGCTGCCTTTCTTTCAGAGATACCCTTCCCAGAGAGGAGGAATCTGGAGAGGTAGTCTGGCAACAGACACTTTGCTGTGCTGTGATGGGCTTTGCCCAGTTTGAACTTCCTGGTGGCTTTTTTTGCACTGTGCAGGGAAAACTGCCTACTCAAGACTCAGTAAGCTCGAGCATTCCAGGTTGACTTTAGACTGCAGTGCTGGCAGTGGGAATTTCCAGCCAGTGGATCTGAGCTTGCTGGGCTTTGTGGGGGTGGGACCCACTGAGCAAGACCACTTGGCTACCTGGCTTCAGTCGCCTTTCCAGGGGAGTGAACGGTTCTGTATCTCTAGTGTTCCAGGCACCACTGGGGTATGCAAACGAAACAAAACAAAAAACTCTTTCAGCTAGCTCAGTGTCTGCTCAAATGGCTGCCCAGTTTTGTGCTTGAAACCCCAGGCCCTCAGGTGCCTGAAGGAATCTCCTGGTCTGTGGGTTGCAAAAACCATGGAAAAAGTGTAGTATCTGGGCCAGATAGTACCATCCCTTATGGCAAAGTCCATCATAGCTTCCCTTGGCTAGGAGAGGGAGTTCCCTGGTCCTTTGCAATTCCTGGGTGGGGTGACACTGAACCCTGCTTCACCCTTCGTGGGATGCACCCACTATCTAACCAATCCCAACGAGATGAACTGGGTACCTCCATTGGAAATGCAGAAATCATACACCTTCTGTGTTGGTCTCATTGGAAGCTGCAGACTGTAGCTGTTCCTATTTGGCCATCTTGCCAGATCATCAAAGAGATTCTTTATGAAATAATTTCACTGAGAAAAACAGTTTAACCAGAAGATACTGGATTCACACTTTAGTGAGGGCTCTACCTAATTTGCTGAAGAGCTATCTTATGCCTAATTAAAAATGGAAAAAATAATCCTAAAATTTCTATGGTACCACAAAACACCCAGAATAGCCAAAACCATCTGGGCAAAAAGAACAGAACTAGAATCGTCACATTACCTGACTTCAAATTATACTACAGAGTTGCAGTAACAAAAACAGCATGGTACTGGCATAAAAACACATAGAACAATGGAACAGAATAGAGAACCTAGAACTCAATACATACATCTACAGTGAACTCATTTGCAATGAAGGTGCCAAGAATATACACTGGGGAAAGGACAAGTTTCTTCAACAAATGATGCTGGGAAAACTGAATTTGCAGAAGCGTGAAAGTAAACCCCTATCTCTCACATATACAAACAATAAATCAAAATGGATTAAAGGCTTAAATATAAGACCTCAAACTATAAAACTGCTATAAGAAAATATTGAAAAAACTCTCCAGGACATTGGTCTGGGCAAAGATTTCTTAAGTAATACTCTCAATCACATACAACCAAAGCAAAAATGGGCAAATGGGACAACATGAAGTTAAAAAGCTTCTGCGCAGCAAAGGAAACAGTCCACAAAGTGAAGAGAGAACCCACAGAATGGGAGAAAATATTTGCCAACTACCCCTCTGACAAAGGATTAATCACCAGAATATATAATGAATTCAAACAACACAATAGCAAAAAATCCAATAGTCTGAGTGAAAAAAGGCAAACTATAATTTGGAGATCATGGCAGATGGGAGGCAAGACTAGATTTCAGCTCCCACTCAGACAGACAGGACAGCGTGTGGAGTCTCGCATTGTGAACTTTTTCTCCAGAACGTCTGCAGGAATACACTAGGAAAGCCAAGAGAACCCACAGATCCTCTGAAGGAAGTGGATTGCTCCTGCAGGACCTGGGAGACACCCCAAATACTGTGAGTGCCCAAACTGTGGAAGTGGGAAAGGGAGATCATCTGCCCCTGAACACACACACCCCACTGGGGAATCTGAGGTCTAGATTATGTGAGAAGATTCTGACCTTACTGGGAACGGAGTCAATTTAGAGAGCCAAGCAAAATACAGGGGTAGAGGAAGCAGCAGGAAAATCCCTGTGAGCTTGCTGGGTCCCCTAGCAAGCCATTTCTGCCTCACCTCTCAGGGGTCTTTGAGGAGGGCTGCCAGAGGCACTGGGAAGTGTCCTAGGGAGGAAGAAACCTCCAGCTGAACTTTGTAACAATTTGAACCCATAGAGAAGTCTCCTGGCCAGAACTTTGGGGAGGGCGTGAATCCAGCATGCAGACTCCATAGGCCAGAAAAGAAGGAAAGCCATATTTGCTTTCACAGCTGGGAGGTGGGTGGCCTGGGGCAAGTTATCAGCCCTGCTCACCCACTGCCTGGAAACAGACTCAGTGCTGTTGGCAGGGGCACAGTGGGAGTGACACAGGCCGTTTGGGGTGCATGGGAGCTGGGTGAAGCCTGTGACTGCTGGCTTTCCCCCACTTCCCTGACAACCTGCAGGACACAGTAGAGGCAGCCATAATCCTCCTAGGAACACAACTCCATTGACCTGGGAAGCTTTCCCCTATCTCCCACAGCAGCCACAGCAAGACCCATCCAACTAGAGTCTGAGCTCAGACATGACTAACCCTGCCCCCACCTAATGGTCCTTCTCTACCCACCCTGGTAACTGAAGAAAAAGGTTATATAATCTAGGGAGTTTTAGGGCCCTGTCCACCGCCTGTTCCTCCCCATACTACTACAGCTGATGCTCTCTTGAAAGTGCCACCTCCTGGCAGGAAGCCAACCAGCACAAAATGTGCACTCATCAACCAAAGCTTAGAACCCTCACAGAGTCCACTTCACACCCTTGCTACCTCCACTGAAGCAAGTGTTGAGAGACCCGCAGGTGGTTCACATCACAGGACTCTAAAGACAACCCACAGTACCAGCCCAGAGCCTGGTAGACTTGCTGGGTGGCTAGATCCACAAGAGAGATAACAATCACTACAGCTCAGCTCTCAGGAAGTCACATACCTAGGAAAAGGAGGAGAGTACTACATCAAGGAAACGCCCCGTGGGACAAAAGTATCTGAACAACAGCGTTGAGCACTAGACCTTCCCTCTGACAGAACCTACCCAAATGAGAAGGAACCAGAAAGCCAACTCTGGAAATATGACAAAACAAGGTTCTTTAACACCCTCAAAACACCACACTAGCTCACTAGCAATGGATCCGAACAAAGAAGAAATCCCTGATTTACCTGAAAAAGAATTCAGGTTAGTTATTAAGCTAATGAGGGAGGCAACAGAGAAAGGCAAAGCACAATGTAAGGGAATAAAAAAAAATGATATAAGAAGTGAAGGGAAAAACATTCAGCGAAATAGCATAAATAAAAAATCAAAACTTCAGAAAACAATGGGCACACTTACAGAAATGCAAAATGCTCTGGAAAATCTGAGCAAGATTTCAGGTCCAGGAAGACTGGTGAGCAGGTGTCAGAGAGACTTGGTGGGTTGTCATCAAGTAGGACTACCCTTGAACCTGTGCAAAAGAGACACTAACTTGGTGAGCTCCTTCTCAAAGGAACATATAGGGCCACAGCTGGCTCTTACTCATAAGCACCATCTACTGGTCTTTAGGCCAGACTGCACAGCCCAATATAAAACCTGCCTAGGAAAGTGCATAGCCTAAGACCCTATCCAGCATATTCTACAGTCACACACCCTAGGAAGGGGAGGAAATGTCAAGAAAAAAATATATAAAGAAACAAACAAAAAATCCTATCTGCATGAAAATAATTACGAATATTAGAAGTGTCAGTCTTTCCAGATGAGAGGGAAGAAGTGTAAGAATTCTGAGCTGTGAAAAATCCAAATGTGACGACACTATCAAAGGATCACACTAGCTCTCCAGCAATGGTCCCTACCCAAAATGGAAAGTCAGTAATGACAGATAAAGAATGCAAACAATGAGATATCATCTTACACCAGGCAGAATGGCTATTATTAAAAAGTCAATTTTGGTGAGGATGCAGAGAAAAAGAATGCTTATACACTGTTGGTGGGAATGTAAATTAGTACAACCTCTATGGAAAACAGTATGGAGATTTCTCAAAGAATTAAAAATAGAACTACTATTAGATCCAACAACCCCACTACTGGATATCTACCCAAAAGAAAAGAAATCATCATATGAAAAAGATACCTGCACTCATATATTTATCACAGCACTATTATCAATAGCAAAGATTTGGAATCAACCTAAGTGTCCATCCACAGGTCAATGGATAAAGAAAATGTGGTATATATACACAATGGAATAATATTCAGCCATAAGAAAGGATGAAGTCATGTCTTTTGCAGAACATAGATGGAACTGGAGGCTATTACCTTAAGTGAAACAAATTAGACCCAGAAAGACAAATACCACACGTTCTCACTTATAAGTGGGAGAGAAATAATGTGTACAGTGGGCATACAGTGTTCAATAGCAGACACTGGAGACTTGGAAGGATGGGAGGCTGGAAAGGGGGTGAGGGATAGGAAACTACGTAATGGATAAAATATTATTTGGATGATGGTTACACTGACTGCTCAGACTTTACCACTGCACAACCTACCCATGTAAGAAAACTGCACTTCTACCTGTTGTATTTATACAAATAAAAAAGGAGAAAAAGATTATTTCTTAGTCAAATTACTTGTTTAGGGGCCTTTAAGGAAAACAACTTTGCATCCAACAGTTGGGCTGCACTGTGAAAAAAAAATTATTCTTCAAGGACACAGTTTATAGAAGGCTACAACAAAAGACATTTAAAGGCTATTCTGCTATCTATATTATGATGGAGGTCTTTGCAATCTGTGTCATAATGATTAACTTTGAGAATTTTACTGTAGTCAGTGATACGGTTTGGATCTGTGTCTCATCGAAACTCATGTCAACTTCTAATTCCCAGTGTTGGAAATGGGGCCTGGTGGGAGGTGGTTTGATGATGGAGGGTGGATTTTTCATGAACGTTTAGCAACATCCCCTTGGTGCTGTTCTTGTGAAAGTGAGTGAGTTCCCATGAGACCTGGTTGTTTAAAACAGTGCAGCATCTCCAGTCAATGGAATATTGGAGTATACATGTCAAAATAAAGACCAGTATTACCCTTTAGGAATATTCTTGGTGCTCAAAATAATTTTCCAACAAATACAAAGTTCCCTAAACACCGTCCTCTGAGCCTCCTGTTTCAAGTTTATTCCCATTATGTCTGTCATAGCAAGGTTCAGCCCAAGTCCCAAATTCTTACTGCCCTGGAAAACTGAGACTATATTTATATTTTATATGCAAAAAAGGAGGCTCTGATACCTTGGCTTGGATAAAGGAACAATGGAAGACATTTAATTTTCTTTTGTTACTTTCCTCTGTTACTTTAAAAATAACTCCCTTATTATGGTTTTCCAGAATTTGAAGAAAGCATACATATTCACTCAACATGCCACAAAAATTTCATAGGTTTTGAGCATGTACCTGCCCAGATATTATCTTGCCATATTAAAGTCTGCTAATTTAAAAAATGTTTGTTCTTATTATATTTATCTTTTTCTCATTTTCCTTGGTATAGTAGATCTTTACAATGGAACATATGTTTGATATGTACTCTTTGAGATGTGACTATGACTCTAGGTGATAATTACACAATCTTAAGGTTCACCTATTTAGAGTTTGGTTCACCGTTGACTGATGATTAAACATATTTATATGTAATATGATGTGTCCATCACTGTTCTAAGTTTTGGGGATACAAAGATGAATAAAACAGGCAAGATTCACATTATATCTAGTGAAACAGATGATCAACAGGTTAAATAAGTACATGAGATATTATCAGACAGTGATAAACTCCATGGAGAAAATACAACAAGTTAATGGGATAGAGAATGATTAGAAGAAGAGGCCATGAAAAGCATCTTCTTTGAAGAGGTGACATTTGTGATGAACTCTGTAAATTAAGAAAAAAAATAGCTATGAAATTATGGAGAAAAGCAGTTCAAACAAAGGGGAAAGGGAATAGAACTTGTGAAGGACTTGAAGCTGGAAGAAAGCATGTCTGAAACAACAAGCTACTAAAATTTGATTAGGCATATTTGATTATGAGGATTTTGAAAATCCTATTGTCTTTATGAAGTGCTTCATTGCAGCACTGTCCACAATAGCCAAGATATGGAATCAATATAAAAAAGGCAGTTACCAGAGTCTGGAAACTGGGGAAGGATGGAGAAAAGGGAGATTTTGATCGAAGGGTATAAAGTTTCAGTTAGACTGGAAAAATAAGATTTAATGATCTATTGTACTATATGGTGACCACAATGAACGATAATGTACCATGTATTTCAAAATTGCTAAACGAATAGATTTTAAACATCCTCACCACAAAAAAAAATAAGTCGGTGAGATGATGGATATGTTAACTAGCTTGATTTAATCTTTCTACTGTATACAATAGTCTTCCCTTTTTCATGTTTTGCTATCTGAGGTTTTGGTTACCCATAGGCAACTGAGGTCTGAAAATATGAAATAGAAAATTCCAGAAATAACTCAAAAGTTTTAAATTGCATGTTGTTCTGAGTAGCATGATGAAATTCCCCAAACCAGGATGTCAATCATCCCTTTGTCCAGCATATCCACACTGTACGTGCTACCTTCTTGTTAGTCACTTGTTAGTTGTCTCATGTATAAGATCAACTGTTGCTGTAGCCCAGTGCTTGTGTTCAAGTGACCCTTATTTTACTTAACAATGGCCTCCAAAGTGCGAGAGTTGCAAAGCTAGCATATTGTCGTAATTGTTCTGTTTTGCTATTAGTTATTGTTGT
Source organism: Homo sapiens (assembly GCF_000001405.40). Taxonomy (NCBI): domain Eukaryota; kingdom Metazoa; phylum Chordata; class Mammalia; order Primates; family Hominidae; genus Homo; species Homo sapiens. The sequence continues at coordinate 58,289,691 of NC_000011.10, forward strand.
TAACCTTTTTTGTGCCTAATTTAAAATTAAACTTCATCATAGGTATATATGTATGAAAGAAACATAGCATAGCATATATAGGGTTCTGTCTATCCATGGTTTTGTGCATTCGCTGGGGGTCTTAAAATGTATCCCCTTTAGATAAGGGGGGATTACTGTACACATATCTCAAAAGACCATGATGTATCCCATAAATATATGCAACTATTTATCAATAAAAAATTAAAACACAGTAAGAATTAGAATTTCTTGAAACTAAATATATATTGTATTTAAGACTCAGTTGATGGCTTTATGTTTCAAAGCAATATTTCACATGAGGAGTTTCTATTTCCCTTTTTTTTTTTTTTTTTTTTTGAGATGCAGTCTTGCTCTGTTGCCTAGGCTGGAGTGCAATGGCACAATCTCAGCTCACTGCAACCTCCGCCTCCTGGGTTCAAGCGATTCTCCTGCCTCTGCCTCCCAAGTAGCTGGGACTGCAGGCACACGCCACTGTGACCGGCTAATTTTTGTATATTTAGTAGAGACGGGGTTTCACCATGTTGGCCAGGCTGGTCTTGAACTCCTGACCTCACGTGATACCCCTATCATGACCTCCCAAAATGCTGGGATTACAGGCATGAGCCACCATGCCCAGCTGATGAGTTTCTATTTCTATAGTTAACTATTGTTACAAGCCTTTCCTTAGAGTTTTGTATAGAAGAAACATAATACCATTGAGATTTAAACTTATATCAGATTCTTTGTCATCTTCTGGGCTGTGATGGTTAGTTGTATGTGTTATCTTTGCTAGTCTAGACACTCCTGTGAGATTATCTTTCAGATGAGATTAATATTTAAATCAGTAGATTTGGGTAAGCAAATTACCTTCCATAATGCTAAAGGTCCATGGTGTGATGTGGCAATAGGGATATGCAAAATATCACTATTGGATACATCCAATCAAATATTTATAAGAGGCAAAGTTCTGGGTGAACGTGCATATAATACTTTCACATACTATTGTCAAACTAATGAGTATAATGAAATTGACTGGCTGCTTCTATTACATAATTTCACTAGACCAAGTGGAAAAGAAAGGATGAGTTCAGGAGCTCAAATTCTAAGCTCAAGCACTGCATAAATGATGTGAAAACTTGTATGTCTGTCCTCAAAGTGACCCATATCTCCTGTAGTGGTAGAACTGAGGTTTTTGATTACCAAATGCAGAATCTCATGCTGTGAACTGGTGATTTACAATGCATATCGAATTCCCATCCTTGCAAGATGTGTACTGTTAAAGTGAGGGCATGTATTGAGAAGAAATGGGCTCTAGAAAATTGAAATGGGGACATATGAGAGGATTCTGATGAAGCTGGGAATATAGAACCCCTGAATTCTGGTGAGTGTTTTGCCAGTAAAGCAGCCACTTCACCCTTGACTGAGATTAACTCTACTTTTTCTCTAATGGCATCCCCTGAGGTAACTGCCTTATAGGACAATAGGACTGACTCCCACAATTCCTCTTTGCTTTTATTTATTTACTTTAGAGAAGGTCTCACTCTGTTGCCCAGGCTGGAGTGCAGTAGTGTGATCCCAGCTCACTGCAGCCTCGACCTCCTAGGCTCAAGTGATCCTCCCACCTTAGCTTCCCAAGTAGCTGGGAATACAGGCATGTACCACCATGCCCAGCTACTTTTTATATATTTTTTTGTAGAGATGGGGTTTCACCATGTTGCTCAGGCTGGTCTCAAACTCCTGGGCTCAAGGGATCCACCCACCTTGGCCTCCCAAAGTGCTGGGATTACAGGTGTGAGCCACAACACCTGGCCCCTCTTTGCTTTCACCCCCACAGTCACATGAGCCAATTTCTTAAAATAAAATTTTCCCTTTATATTGCTTTAGAGGAAAGGTAAAATTATAAATTTGGAGTTAAATGAATGATAGCAGTCTACACTTTTTGGAGTTTTAAGGTTTTGGGAGACCTTTTTTAAAAATGAGAATGATCTGTAGCAACTAAGTACATCAGGCACAGAGAATTAATGAAAGTCCAAATTCTGATACAATAAAGGCAAATCTAGCATTTGGATGGAAGAGTTTTACCATTGTCCCATGCCCAGGTGCCCCTTTCAGTCTCTCGGAGCCTTCAGAAGGACTCAGGTGTCCCTTTGGTACTGAGCACTTTTTTCAAGGGCACCTTTGACATCCTTGTTCCTAAGGGTGTAAATCAAAGGGTTGAGTAATGGTGTGATAAAGGTGTAAACAAGGGCAAACTGGCGATCCTCATCTGCAGAGGAGCTGGACTGGGGATGCAAGTATGCCAAGGCACAGCAGCCATACTGCAGCAGGACCACGGTGAGGTGGGAGGAGCAGGTGGAGAAGGCCTGGTGGCGGCCCTCAGCAGAACGGATGCTCAGGATGGCACAGGTGATGAACACGTAGGAGACGCAGATGAGCAAGAAGGGGACGGTCAGCACGAGGATGCTCACGACATAGAGGACAGCCTGGTGAACACGGATGGCAGCGCAGGCCAGGCGCAGGACGGGAGGTACATCGCAGAGGAAGTGGTTAATTTCCTGGCGGTAGCCGCAGAAGGGCAAGGTGAAGATTAAGGCGGTGAGCTGCAGGGAGAGGAAGAGGGCCAGGCCCACAGCGCCGCCCAGCATCTGCACGCACAGATTGCAGGTCATGATGAGGGGTAGTGCAAAGGGTGGCAGATGGCCACATAGCGGTCATAGGCCACGATCGCCAAGAGGAAACAGTCAGCACCACCAAGTGTGAGAAAGAAGAACATTTGGGCCCCACATCCAGCCAATGGAATGGGCTTCTGGGCCCCAAAAATGTTGGAAAGCATCAAGGGCACCACAACGGTGGTGTAGCAGATCTCTACAAAGGACAGGTTGGACAAGAAGAAATACATTGGGGTTCGGAGAACGCTGTATGTGCACACAACCCAGATGATGGCTGTGTTGCCACAGAGGATCATCAAGTAGAAGAGGAGGAAGAGAAGGAAGAGAAGAACCTGAAATTCAGGGACTGTGGTGAACACACGGAACACAAACTCAGTGGGGCAGACTGGTTGAAGACAGGTTACCACGCAAGCATGCCTTGTGCAAAAGCACTGAGCCGTCCTTGGCTGAGTTGCCTTATTGCCTGAGTAAAATAAAGAGGGAGGACTTTGTTTCTGAGGTGGGAATTACCTAATTGTCATTGAGATTCCTTTTTTTTTTTTTTTTGAGACAGGGTTTCACATTGTTACCCAGGCTGGAGTGCAGTGGCGTGATCACAGTTCACTGCAGCCTCTACTTCCCAAGCTCAGGTGATTCCCCCACCTCAGCCTCCTGAGTAGCTAGAACTACAGGCCCACTCCACTATTCCAGTTAATGTTTATATTTTTTGTAGAGATGGAGTCTTTCTTGCTTGCTCAGGTTGGTCTCAAACCCCTGGGCTCAAGCTATCCTCCAGCCTCAGCCTCCTGGAGTGCAGGGATTACAGGTATGAGTCACTGCACCCAACCTGATACTCTAATTGTAGTTAAACATAGGTAATTATTTTCCTCCAAAATCTTCATGTGTATTTTCTTGAAGAGAAGGAAACAGATTTCTAAAGTGTTTCTACATTACACTTTAAAATATGTTTACTTTAAAATATAAGTTTAAGATAGTAGAACAGTGGTTACTAGGGGAGAGAGGGAGAGGAAATAGGATAGGTAAGTCCAAAGGTATAAACTTGCAGCTGTGTAGGATGAATAAGTGCAGGATCTAATGCATATATAGCATGAGGATTATAGTTAATACTGTAGTATGCACTGAAAATTTGTGAAGAGAGTAGATTTTAGTTGCTCCTACCATAAAAAAGTGCCAACTATGTGAGGTGATGGATATGCTAATTTGCTTGAATATACTACATAATTCACTATGTATATGTATATCAAAATATCATGTTGTACACCTTAAATATACACAATAAAATATAAATGTAATAAACATAGATTTATGAGTTAGGTCTCTGTTTCTGCTAAAGTTTCATAATTGTATAACGGTAAACGTCTATAGATAAAATATTAGATGATTCAATCATTCTTATTAATCCCAGTGTTTTGGTCTTACAGAGGACTGGGAATACAACTTTATTGCAATTTTATTCTGACGTATGTTATTTATTTTTATTTATTGAAGTATTTTCTGTAAGACTTCAACTGTGTTTGGAAATCAAATAGATTGACACGTAAAGGCATTTAGTTGCTTGATAGGCAGTCACAAGAGTGAAGCTAGCTGAAATAAGGAAAGATGATGAGGAAACTAAAAATTCCATAGCAGAAAAAAAAACTCTGCTTTCTAAAAAATTACTTTCAGGCAAATTTTTATCTAAAATATCTATTTTGTGGCATAAAAACCCAGGATGTGATGTTTTAAGAAAAACGCATTCTGATCAATGAATCCTATGCTCAATAAAATTGTCGGAATTTTTTAGATTTGCCAATGCTCTGGAATTCTGTCCTTCATATCTATGCTGAAAACAACTAAAAATTTTAGTTAGTTAAAAATATCAAAATTAAAAGTCAATATTGGGTATTTGTAATAGAAAAGTGGAGAGAATTAAAGCATAGTAAAACACAGTTATATCTATGTAATTATTTCAAATATTGTTTTATAAAGAGCAAAAATTTCAAGTATAGTTCTTGAAAAATGCATTATGGGAAACAGTTTTTAAACCCCATCTCTACTAAAAATACAAAAATTAGCTGGATGTGGTGGCACACGCCTGTAGTTCCAGCTACTTGGGAGGCTGAGGCAGAAGAATCACTTGACCTCGGGAGGCAGAGGTTCCAGTGAGTTGAGATCACGCCACTGCACTCCAGCCTGGCGACAGAGCCAGACTCCATCTCAAAAAAAAAAAAAAGTAATCTGGATCTAATATCTCAACTGATTTTGAAAAGTATGAAAAGCGGGTAGGGGAGAAGATAGGTAATATTGTGCTAATTTCCTCAAACTGTTTAAGAAATGATTCAGTATAAACTATAATATCACTTAGATGTGAATAATTGTAGAAAAGTTTATTCTACTTATATTCTTTACCTTTTAATATTAATTACTCTAATAGTAAGTACAAATAGAATGTACTTTTTCAAATATGCATTGTGTCTATCATCTATCTTTTCCCTCAAAATAAGAAAAAAATAAAAGAATGAAACTATTGTTCAAAAGAAAAAGAAGCAAACAAAAATAGGTAAGAAATTATATAGAACAAAAATATTTTTTAAAAAGTTTTGGGAAGCAGAATAAAACATATCAATTATTACAATAAATGTTGATAGGCATATATCTCCTATAAAAAGATGTTTAGATTGATTCAAGAAGCAAAAGAATGTTTTTAAGAAGCAAAAAATAGCACCATGGAAAACCTATTATTCTTTTATTCAATGTTTTTTCAGAAAGTTCTACAAAGTGAAATAAGCCATGTCCTCCAACCAATAAAGATGATAGATATCTGACTGTCCCTATGAAAACCTCAAGACAACTAAGAAATTGTTAGAACTAATATGGAAATTCCTTAAGATGACCAATAATTAACTAATTTCCATTTAGTCACTTTGTTCTCTTTCCCTCTATGGAGATTCCATAGGACACCCAGTTCTAAGCAAGATTTCACTCCAGTACATCTGAACACTTCTACTCCCACCATTTGAGGTTTTTGCTTGTGAAGTCAACTGTGTTTGTTTCCAACTGTCAATAAACCAAGTACACTTAATATTGCAAAAGTTAATAGTGCATGAAACGTTGTATACACTATTGAACCATGAATGTGAAAGGATTCTTTCAATGGATATCAATGTAAATATTTTGAAATTATTTGATAAAAATGAATTGCAAACAAACAATAACTTACTGATGAATTAGCTAAGATGGGCAGAGCTACTATATGTGTTTGAGGGAAAAGATCATAAAAATCTTGGATAATGTAGCATGCATTTTGTTTCACAAGAATCCTTAAAGACACTGATATTGCAAATTGTAGACAATGATTTGGGAATGTGGTTCACATAAGAAAACTTCAGTTTGCAATAATCATCCCACACAAAACACATACACAAAAAGGCTTGATCATACATCAGAGGGTTAGGGGTAAAAATGTTCATTTATATGTTTTAAGTTAAATTTTTATAATGTATACATTTAAAAAATTAATTTCCTTGTAACTGACTTTTCAATTAATTGATCAAGCACTGGCTGCTTTGGATAAAAGGGCTTTTACTATACGTAAAACACAATAGTTGTCTCCATATCGACAATAACTAGTTAGAAAATTATAATACCAAAAGTCATACAAATATAAAATATCAATAAATGTAACATGTAATAACTGACACAAATTTAAGGCAATTGTTAAAGCTTTTTGATGGTAAAACTTAATATTTTAAGAATATTATGTGTCTTCAAAATAACACACAATTTTGCTGAAAATCTGATAAGAATTTCAAGAGAATTTATGTATGTGTATGCACATGTACTTTATAATGTGATTTTAAAGTTTATTTGGAAGAATAATCAATTGAGAATAAGTAGATGTTAAATAAGAATATTTAGATATATTCTCATTTACATGCTAAATGAGAATAAGATGTTAAAGTAGATGTTAAAAACCATTAAAATGCTAAGAAAGATGTTTAAAAGAGAACAAAAGTGAAACTTGTACTAAAAATTAAAATATTGCATAAATTATAATATTTCATAAATACATAATGTATTATAATTGCATCAGAAATGAAAAATAAGTGTAGGAATAGAGAGACAGTTCCATAAAACAAAAATACCCATGAATATATGAGTCTTAAATACACAGTAAAGTCAAGATAGCAAAACAGAGTGGTTCAGAGCTCTTTGCCATCAGACTACTTGTGTTCTAAGTAATCTTGGACACTTTACATAAAATCTTTATACTTCAATTTTTCTCACCTATAATATGGGAATATTAAATGTACTTGCCAATAGGGTTTCTGTGATGATATGATGAAAACAAATAAAAGGCACTTAAAGCTAGTGCCTATAAACATCCACTAAATGTCAGTTCTTACTGTTTTTCAAATAACCACAGCTTTGGAATAATGGGCTAATATTTGTTTTGACATCATTTTCCTGTTACTATAACTGAAGTTTATTTTGGATGATCAAAATTTATATTCTCAAAAAGAGAAATCATAAAGGTAATAGAAGACTTATGTATAGTTAAGGACAAAACTAAGACCTCATTCCAGCAAGCTTAATTATTAGAAGGTGGAATCCACCTTGCAATCTTTGGTTCTTGGATTTTGCACTTTTAATATATATCAATTGCTTTGCAATTTAGTCATAGACATTGCAAAAATATGCGCAGAAAAGACATATTAGTTGAACAATTCTGTTGCAGTGTCTGAAACAAATACCCAAACTCTGTCTGGGTCTAAATTTGTAGGAGAGGGAGGCAATCTTCTATGAACTGAGAGTTGAGAAGCCTCCAAAAATATCTCCTGCCTCAGTATCCCTCTAAAGGCACTGGCACTGTGAAGGAATTTCTTGCTATGCATTCCAACAAGAAAACACGCAGGCTTTAAACTCTTCCCACCTGCGTTTAATCCTGACGCTGCCCCATGCCAGGTCTCTGGCTTTGTGAAATTTACTTAGTAAATAAAGCTTACAAAGCAGTTTTCTTAGCTATCTTGCAGAACTAGTGTGAATATTAGTAAAAAAAACCATATATGGAAAGTGCCCTGTGCTGTGCCCAGCTTTTCTTTCCCAAAACGTTTTTTTATTGTTATTATTATTATACTTTAAGTTTTAGGGTACATGTGCACAATGTGCAGGTTAGTTACATATGTATACATGTGCCATGCTGGTGTGCTGCACCCATTAACTCGTCATTTAGTATTAGGTATATCTCCTAATGCTATCCCTCCCCACTCCCGCCACCCGACAACAGTCCCCAGAGTGTGATGTTCCCCTTCCTGTGTCCATGTGTTCTCATTGTTCAATTCCCATCTATGAGTGAGAACATGTTTTTTATTGCAAAACACATGTAACATAAAATTTACCATCTTAATCATTTTAAGTGCAGTTCAGCAGTGTTAAGTACATTTATATTCTTGTGCAACCATCACCTCACTACCATCTGTCTCCAGAACTCTTTTCATCTTGCAAAACTGAATCTCTAAACTGTTAAACAACGACTACCATTTCTCCCTATCCCCAGCCTCTGGCAATCACTGTTCTACTCTCTGTCTCTATAATTTTGACTATTTTGGGGTCCTCATATAAGTGAAATAATACAGTTTTTATCTTTTTGTGACTGACTTATTTCGCTTAGTATGTTTAGCTTTTAATAGGGGCTCACCCCTTCCCACTCCCTTACCCTCTCCAATCACTTGAATACTATCTTATCTCCTTGAAATCATGGAAACTCCCTCAGCCTGACAACCTTTTCATTCTTTCATTTTCTTAGCTAATTTCTGCAGCTTGCAGCTCAGGATTCAGCTCAAAAATCAGTTATCTAGAAAGCAACCCTAATTCTCATTTTCCTCTCACCTTCAGGATAAGGTGTTCCTCCTATGAACTACTGCAGAACTGTGCATGTTTCTCAATTACAAGATGGTTAGCCCTGCATCAGGCTAATTGCTGACAAGTGAGCAAGCAGATAAGCAAGGAAGCTAGCTGGCCTTTATTGAGCATTTTACATGCTGAAATCATATTCTCAGCTCTGTGGGGGAATATGAAATAAAATTATATTAAAAAGAGTCTTTGTTGGCCGGGCATGATGGCTCACACCTGTAATCCCAGCACTTTGGGAGGCCGAGGCGGGCAGATCACGAGGTCAGGAGTTTGAGACCAGCCTGGCCAACATGGTAAAACCCCATATCTACAAAAATACAAAAATTAGCTGGGTGTGGTGGCATGTGCCTTTAATCCCAACTACTCAGAAGGCTGAGGCATGAGAATCGCTTGAACCTGGGAGACAGAGGTTGCAGTGAGCCGATATTGTACCACTGCACTCCAACCTGGGTGACAGAGCGAGACTCCGTCTCAAAAAAAAAAAAAAAAAAAGGCCGTGTCCCCAGTCATATAAAGGAGATCTGACATTTAATGAAATCTGGGAAAAAAATCTTCTAAATTAAGGTTTTTTAAATTATCTTTTTAGAAAAATAGATACAAAATACTCCTTCTCCCAAATACAACAATACATAGATAGATAGATAGATAGATAGATAGATAGATAGATAGATAGATAGACAGATACATAGATGCATAGATAGACAGATAGACAGATGAATGGATAGATCCATAGATAAATAGAGTAACGCATAAAAACATAAGTAGGTACAAAGATGCATATATCCATAGTCAAGCACATTTGGGAAACACTAAAAATTGTATCTCTTTGTGATCCACAATGATATTAGCATTAAAAGCCTCTGAGAATTATGTATTATACATGAGAAATATGTATAAATTTAACTCTTTTAAAAAAATTTATTTCTGTATGAAATGTTTTTTCACACAGTTCAACTAACATTTCATAAAAGCCTCTTTAGATGCTGTAAAAAGCATTTCAAATATAATAATAAGTTACATCGTGATATTTAGGCAGTATCTAAGCTAACTTTATGTGTTAATTCAGTTACACTTCACAGCAACACCATGGGACAGGCAATATTTTAATGCCTTTCTTGCAAATAAAGAGCTGAGGTCCCAAAAGATTAGGTAACTAGTCCGAGATCAAGCAGCTGGTCAGTGGTGGAGTTGAGATTTAAGCTGAAGCATATTGAATCTAGCAAATGAAGACCTGAGTTTGGGCTCTGTTGGGTAAGCCACAATCAAAGCTTCATTTTCTTCATCTGGGAAGTGTAGATACCCAATCCATTATGTTATTTGAGTTATTCAATTCTTTTTCAACTGTGCTCCCTACAGTTGAAAGCAGGGATTGGCAAACTTTTGTTATAAAGGGCCAGATTGTAAAATTTTAGGCATCATGGGCCAAATCAGTTGTTTGAACATAATTTGCCTGCCTCCCTTCCTCCCTCTCTTCTCTTCCTCCCTCCTGTCTCTCGTTTTTTCTTAAAAATGTAAAACACATTCTTTGTTAAATGGCTGTAAAAAGAAGGCTGGATTTTAACTTTAGGTCTAACTTGCCTACCCTTGCTATAAAGTATTAAACAGTATAAGTTAATATCAGTCAGGAAATAGAAGAGCCAATTAGTTGTTAAACAGTAAAGCGTCTGAAGATGGTTCCTTACCTCTTTGCAATTCATTTCATTTCATCAGTCATCAAAGAAAATTTATACCAGCAAACTTTTTTTCAGAAATGCTAAAAGTTTCTGCCATAGATGATTAAGGGAACTCGTTCAGAATGCTTTCCTGCCCTATATATCATGTTCTTAAGGGACAAAATGCGATAAGAATACATGGACTCTTGAAGTGTAAAATCTTCTAGAAATATTTTAACAAGTGAACAGAAGGTAATGACCTTGAAACATCTACATAGGAATGAGAAAGACAGCCGGGCGCGGTGGCTCACGCCTGTATCCCAGCACTTTGGGAGGCTGAGGCAAGCGGATCACCTGAGGTCAGGAGTTTGATACCAGCCTGGCCAACATGGTGAAACCCCGTCTCTACTAAAAATACAAAAATTAGCCGGGCGTGGTGGCAGGTGCCTGTAATCCCAGCTACCTGGGAGGCTGAGGCAGGAGAATCGCTTGAACTCACGAGTAGGAGGCTGCAGTGAGGCGAGACTGTGCCAGTGCACTCCAGCGTGGGTGAACAGAGCAAGAACAACAACAACAACAAAAGCCAGGCGCGGTGGCTCACGCCTGTAATCCCAGCACTTTGGGAGGCCGAGGCAAGCGGATCATGAGGTCAAGAAATCGAGACCATGCTGGCCAACATCGTGAAACCCCGTCTCTATTAAAAACACAAAACTTAGCTGGGCGTGGTGGCCCGCACCTGTAGTCCCAGCTACTTGGAGGCTGAGGCAGGAGAATCTCTTGAACCCCAGAGGCGGAGGTTGCAGTGAGCTGAGATTGTGCCACTGCACTTCGGCCTGGCGACAGAGCGAGACTTGGTTTCAAAAAAAAAAAAAAGCAAACAAACAACAACAAACAAACAAACAACAAGCAAAAAAGGAAAGAGTAGGCTGGTGTTCAGGAAAAGAGGGAAGTTTTTAGAAAGCTGTGCTTGGGATACAGCAAAAGAAAGAAGGATACCAAGAAAGTAAGAATACCCCTTCCTGTGTCCATGTGTTCTCATTGTTCAATTCCCACCTATGAGTGAGAATATGCGGTGTTTGGTTTTTTGTTCTTGCGATAGTTTACTGAGAATGATGATTTCCAATTTCATCCATGTCCCTACAAAGGACATGAACTCATCATTTTTTATGGCTGCATAGTATTCCATGGTGTATATGTGCACCAGCATGGCACGTGTATACATATGTAACTAACCTGCACATTGTGCACATGTACCCTAAAACTTAAAGTATAATAATAATAAAAAAGAGAGAGAGAGAAAAAAAGAATACCACGCAGTTATCCTAAACCAGTCTCCTGCATGGGAAGACCAGGCTCTGTGTCTGCATTCTTCTTTTTACTCAGAGGCGATTCTCTGATTCAGCCTGATTTATCCACATAATTTTGTGCCCTATATGATGTCTCTTTTAACTAATGAGTCTCCAAAGGGAAGAAATTTCCCTAGTGGCTTTTTTCAAGCCAAATCCAACTAAAATCATATTTCAGAGAAATTTCCTGGGTTAATAAACTGGAACAAAGTTATGGGCAACTCTTCATGTGACAATCACAGACAACCACCATCTGGAGTCCATGGAGAGATCCCCTCCCTGTTATGTACTTTTGTATTAGGAGTCCTTGTTCTGATGGATATTATATTTATAATGTATTATTATGTTCCTATTTATATTTATAATGTAAGGTCCCACAAAGCGTATGGCTTGGCTTAATTATTATTCATTTGTGTGCATTTGCTTTGCTGCCTTTGCCATGAGTAAGCGCATTATTTCTGGATACATCCCAACTAAGTAGTCATGGTACTTTCAGCTTCTATCACCAGCTTCTACCAGCTTCTATCAGTCAGATTATAAGTATGTCTCTATTGCCTGTGGGGAACCTAGTTCCTGTCTCCTGTCCCTACTGGGCATGTTAAGTCCTCATTCTTGACTGGGATTGAAATCCTTATCTCCACTGACTATTTCTGTTTTCAATATTCCATAGTCTTCTACATTTAGTCATCAGTAATCACTGTGGTTTCAATTCTATTTCTGGTTTTCAGGAATTTTAATATTATTTTTGACTCTGGTGGTTACATAAAGTTTAATTTTTTCCTGTTATTGGAACGTGTTTAGAGTAGAATTAGAAGGTTTCATGTACATTTATTTTATTTTCTCTATAAAAGAAACTGATCCTAGAATTTGTCCTAATAAGAATACCACAAAATTAAGCATTTTCCCCAAATAACATTGAGAAGTCTAACATATGCTTAAGCCTCCTCTTTTCTAAGAATATATTTTCTCCATTTACTTTCCAATGAGGATCTCAACTAAAACTCTGCTACTCAAAAGGTAGCATAAGGATCAGTGTAATCCGGGAAATGTTTGTTGCTGGTTTCATAAAAGATATACATAAAAATTGAGAATAAGTTTCAAAACTTTTAGAGCCATTTGACATTGCCATACCACTGACCCAGCAATCTTCCCTCTCATGTTGTTGAATATAGACCAGTTCTGGTGTGGCCACACTTCTGTGTGATGAATCTCATCCAGCATGAATGGTATAGTGGAATGAACCATAGAACATGTTAACTTGTATGATATTTTAAGGTTAGCACGTCAAATGTAATCTAAAATAATACAAATATATGAGAAAATGAGAGCATTTTTTGCATGTGTGTATATAGCTTTTAATAAACAGCATTGAAAAATGCTATATATAGATAGATAGCATTTTATTTTATTTTACTTTAAGTTCTGGGTTACATGTGCTGATCATGTAGGTTTGTTACATAGGTATACATGTGCCATGCTGGTTTGCTGCACCTATCAACCTGTCATCTAGGTTTTAAGCTCTGCATGCATTAGGTATTTATCCTAATGCTCTCCTTCTCCTTTCCCTCAACCCTTCGACAGGCCCCAGTTTGTGATGTTCACCTCCCTGTGTCCAAGTGTTCTCATTGTTCAACTCCCACCTATGAGTGAGAATATGAGGTGTTTGATTTTGTTCCTTGTGATAGTTTGCTGAGGATGATGGTTTCCAGCTTCATCCATGTCCCTTCAAAGGACATGAACTTATTCTTTTTCTATGGCTGCATAGTATTCCATGGTGTATATGTGCCACATTTTCTTTGTCTAGTCTATCATTGATGGGCATTTGGGTTGGTTCCAAGTCTTTGCTATTGTAAATAGTGCTGCAATAAACATACGTGTGCATGTGTCTCAGAAATACCATTTGACCCAGCAATCCCATTACTAGGTACATATCCAAAGGAAAATGAAAACATTTAAAACAACTTTTTTAAGTGTTGCTTTTATAGTACTTAATTTTTAATAAAAAATTATAGCTAAATTAGAAAAACAAAGTCTATATACTTTTTAACTTAAAAAATTGAAGTGTAGTTTTCATACTGTGAAATGCAGTATACGTTTCAATTAGATTTGACAAATGCATGAATTCATGTAATCTACATCTTTACCAATATTTCATTGCCCCCAGAAAGTTTCCCTGTGTCCCTAGCTCGCAAATACCTGCCCTGAAACACAACACTTCTTTCTTTCTTTCTTTTCTTTGAAATTATAGGTTAGCTTTGATTGCTACTGAACTTCATGCAGATTGAGTCATACAGCATGCACTCCTTTGTTGTCTGGATTCTCTCATTAGATTTATCCACTTTGTTGGGTGTATCTGCACTTCACTCTTTTCATTGCTGAACAGTATTTCATTGTATGAGTGTACTGAAATTACTGATCTGTTCTGCTGAAAAACATTTGTCCTGGCTAAATACTTAGGAGTCAAATTTCTGGATCATAGAATTGAAGGATTTTTAATTTTATAAGAACCATCATATTGCTTTCCACATTTATCATCAGTGTATTGGAGTTCATTTGCTCCACATTCTAGCCAGCATTTAGTTTTGGCAGTCCTTTAAATTTTAGACATTCTAAAATCACATTATCATTGTGGTTTTAATTTTTATTTCCTTGGAGAATAATGTTGAAAACTTTTTTAATGGGAATATTGGGCATATGTATGTCTTTCTTTGCAAAGTATTTGGTCAATGTTTTGACATTTAAAAAATTATGCTGTTTATCTATTTTCATTAATTACTTATGACTTTTTATTCTCTATGTATTCTGGTATAAGTTCATTTTCAGAACTTATATTTCCCCCAGTGTTGATTTATGTATTTATTTTCTTTTTTTGATTTTTAAAAATTTTATTTTATTTTATTATTATTATACTTTAAGTTTTAGGGTACCTGTGCACAACGTGCAGGTTCGTTACATATGTATACATGTGCCATGTTGGTGTGCTGCACCCATTAACTCATCATTTAACATTAGGTATATCTCCTAATGCTATCCCTCCCCCTTCCCCCCACCCCACAACAGGCCCTGGTGTGTGATGTTCCCCTTCCTGTGTCCATGTGTTCTCATTGTTCAATTCCCACCTATGAGTGAGAACATGCAGTGTTCGGTTTTTTGTCCTTGTGATAGTTTGCTGAGAATGATGGTTTCCAGCTTCATCCAAGTCCCTACGAACGACATGAACTCATCATTTTTTTATGGCTGCATAGTATTCCATGGTGTATATGTGCCACATTTTCTTAATCCAGTCTATCATTGTTGGACATTTGGGTTGGTTCCAAGTCTTTGCTATTGTGAATAGTGCCACAATAAACATACGTGTGCATGCGTCTTTATAGCAGCATGATTTATAATCCTTTGGATATATACCCAGTAATGGGATTGCTGGGTCAAATGGTATTTCTAGTTCAATGTCCCTGAGAAATAACCACACTGACTTCCACAATGGTTGAGCAAGTTTACAGTCCCACCAACAGTGTAAAAGTGTTCCTATTTCTCCACATCCTCTCCAGCACCTGTTGTTTCCTGACTTTTTAATGATCGCCATTCTAACTGGTGTGAGATGGTATCTCATTGTGGTTTTGATTTTTGCATTTCTCTGATGGCCAGTGATGATGAGCATTTTTTCAAGTGTGTCTTTTGGCTGCATAAATGTCTTCTATTGAGAAGTGTCTGTTCATATCCTTCACCCACTTTTTGATGGGATTGTTTGTTCTTTTCTTGTAAATTTGTTTGAGTTCATTGTAGATTCTGGATATTAGCCCTTTGTCAGATGAGTAGCTTGCAAAAATTTTCTCCCATTCTGTAGGTTGCCTATTCACTCTGATGGTAGTTTCTTTTGCTGTGTGGAAGCTCTTTAGTTTAATTAGATCCTGTTTGTCAATTTTGGCTTTTGTTGCAATTGCTTTTGGTGTTTTAGACATGAAGTCCTTGCCCATGCCTATGTCCTGAATGGTATTGCCTAGGTTTTCTTCTAGGGTTTTTATGGTTTTAGGTCTAACATGTAAGTCTTTAATCCATCTTGAATTAATTTTTGTATAAGGTGTAAGGAAGGGATCCAGTTTCAGCTTTCTACATATGGCTAGCCAGTTTTCCCAGCATCATTTATTAAACAGGGAAACCTTTCCCCATTGCTTGTTTTTGTCAGTTTTATCAAAGATCAGATAGTTGTAGATATGCGGAATTATTTCTGAGGGCTTTGTTCTGTTCCATTGGTCTATATCTCTGTTTTGGTACCAGTACCATGATGTTTTGGTTACTGTAGCCTTGTAGTATAGTTTGAAGTCCGGTAGTGTGATGCCGCCAGCTTTGTTCTTTTGGCTTAGGATTGACTTGGCAATGCGGGCTCTTTTTTGGTTCCATATGAACGTTAAAGTAGTTTTTTCCATTTCTGTGAAGAAAGTCATTGGTAGCTTGATGGGGATGGCATTGAATCTATAAATGACCTTGGGCAGTATAGCCATTTTCACAATATTGATTCTTCCTACCCATGAGCATGGAATGTTCTTCCATTTCTTTGTATCCTCTTTTATTTCATTGAGCAGTGGTTTGTAGTTCTCCTTGAAGAGGTCCTTCACATCCCTTGTAAGTTGGATTCCTAGGTATTTTATTCCCTTTGAAGCAATTGTGAATGGGAGTTTCTGTTTGTCTGTTATTGGTGTATAAGAATGCTTGCGATTTTTGCACATTGATTTTGTATGCTGAGCCTTTGCTGAAGTTGCTTATCAGCTTAAGGAGATTTGGGGCTGAGACAATGAGGTTTTCTAGATATACAATCATGTCATCTGCAAATAGGGACAATTTGACTTCCTCTTTTCCTAATTGAATACCCTTTATTTCCTTCTCCTGCCTGATTGCCCTGGCCAGAACTTCCAACACTATGTTGAATAGGAGTGGTGAGAGAGGGCATCACTGTCTTGTGCTAGCTTTAAAAGGGAATGCTTCCAGTTTTTGTCCATTCAGTATGATATTGTCTGTGGGTTTGTCATAGATAGCTCTTATTATTTTGAGATACGTCCCATCAATACCTAATTTATTGAGAGTTTTTAGCATGAAGGGTTGTTGAATTTTGTCAAAGGCCTTTTCTGCATCTATTGAGATAATCATGTGGTTTTTGTCTTTGGTTCTGTTTATATGCTGGATTACGTTTATTGATTTTCATATGTTGAACCAGCCTTGCATCCCAGGGATGAAGCCCACTTGATCATGGTGAGTAAGCTTTTTGATGTGCTGCTGGATTTGGTTTGCCAGTATTTTATTGAGGATTTTTGCATCAATGTTTATCAAGGATATTGGTCTAAAATTCTCTTTTTTGGTTGTGTCTCTGCCAGGCTTTGGTATCAGGATGATTCTGGCCTCATAAAATGAGTTAGGGAGGATTCCCTCTTTTTCTATTGATTGGAATAGTTTCAGAAGTAATGGTACCAGCTCCTCTTTGTACCTCTGATAGAATTCGGCTGTGAATCCATCTGGTCCTGGACTTTTTTTGGTTGGTAAGCTATTAATTATTGCCTCAATTTCAGAGCCTGTTATTGGTCTATTCAGAGATTCAACTTCTTCCTGGTTTAGTCTTGGGAGGGTGTATGTGTCGAGGAATGTATCCATTTCTTCTAGATTTTCTAGTTTATTTGCATAGAGGTGTTTATAGTATTCTCTGATGGTAGTTTGTATTTCTGTGGGATCAGTGGTAATGTCCCCTTTGTCATTTTTTATTGTGTCTATTTGATTCTTCTCTCTTTTCTTCTTTATTAGTCCTGCTAGCGGTCTATCAATTTTGTTGATCTTTTCAAAAAACCAGCTCCTGGATTCACTGATTTTTTGAAAGGTGTTTTTTGTCTCTATTTCCTTCAGTTCTGCTCTGATCTTAGTTATTTCTTGCCTTCTGCTAGCTTTTGAATGTGTTTGCTCTTGCTTCTCTAGTTCTTTTAATTGTGATGTTAGGGTGTCAATTTTGGATCTTTCCTGCTTTCTCTTGTGGGCAGTTAGTGCCATAAATTTCCCTGTACACACTGCCTTGAATGTGTCCCAGAGATTCTGATATGTTGTGTCTCTGTTCTCATTGGTTTCAAAGAACATCTTTATTTCTGCCTTCATTTTGTTATGTACCCAGTAGTCATTCAGGAGCAGGTTGTTCAGTTTCCGTGTAGTTGAGTGGTTTTGAGTGTGTTTCTTAATCCTGAGTTCTAGTTTGATTGCACTGTGGTCTGAGAGACAGTTTGTTACAACTTCTGTTCTTTTAGATTTGCTGAGGAGAGCTTTACTTCCAACTATGTGCTCAATTTTGGAATAAGTGTGGTGTGCTGCTAAGGAGAATGTATATTCTGTTGATTTGGGGTGGAGAGTTCTGTAGATGTCTATTAGGTCCACTTGGTGCAGAGCTGAGTTCAATTCCTGGATATCCTTGTTAACTTTCTGTCTCGTTGATCTGTCTAATGTTGACAGTGGGGTGTTAAAGTCTCCCATTATTATTGTGTGGGAGTCTAAGTCTCTTTGTAGGTCTCTAAGGACTTGCTTTATGAATCTGGGTGCTTCTGTATTGGTTGCATATATATTTAGGATAGTTAGCTCTTCTTGTTGAGTTGATCCCTTTACCATTATATAATGGCCTTCTTTGTCTCTTTTGATCTTTGTTGGTTTAAAGTCTGTTTTATCAGAGACTAGGATTGCAACCCCTGCCTTTTTTTGTTTTCCATTTGCTTGGTAGATTTTCCTCCATCCCTTTATTTTGAGCCTATGTGTGTCTCTGCACATGAGATGGGTTTCCTGAATACAGCACACTGATGGGTCTTGACTCTTTATCCAATTTGCCAGTCTGTGTCTTTTAATTGGAGCATTTAGCCCATTTATATTTAAGGTTAATATTGTTATGTTTGAATTTGTTCCTGTCATTATGATGTTAGCTGGTTATTTTGCTTGTTAGTTGGTGCAGTTTCTCCCTAGCCTCATTGGGCTTTACAATTTGGCATGTTTTTGCAGTGGCTGGTACCGGTTGTTCCTTTCCATGTTTAGTGCTTCCTTCAGGAGCTCTTTTAGGGCAGGCCTGGTGGTGACAAAATCTCTCAGCATTTGCTTGTCTGTAAAGGATTTTATTTCCCCTTCACTTATGAAGCTTAGTTTGGCCGGATATGAAATTCTGGGTTGAAAATTCTTTTCTTTAAGATTGTTGAATATTGGCCCCCACTCTCTTCTGGCTTGTAGAGTTTCTGCCGAGATATCAGCTGTTAGTCTGATGGGCTTCCCTTTGTGGGTAACCCGACCTTTCTCTCTGGCTGCCCTTAACATTTTTTCCTTCATTTCATCTTTGGTGAATATGACAGTTATGTGTTTTGGAGTGGCTCTTCTCAAGGAGTATCTTTGTGGCATTCTCTGTATTTCCTGAATTTGAAGGTTGGCCTGCCTTGCTAGACTGGGGAAGTTCTCCTGGATAATATCCTGCAGAGTGTTTTCCAACTTGGTTCCATTCTCCCCATCACTTTCAGGTACACCAATCAGATGTAGATTTGGTCTTTTCACATAGCCCCATATTTCTTGGAGGCTTTGTTCATTTCTGTTTATTCTTTTTTCTCTAAGCTTCCCTTCTCACTTCATTTCATTCATTTCATCTGCCATCACTGATACCCTTTTTTCCAGTTGATCAAATCAGCTTCTGAGGCTTGTGCATTCATCCCGTAGTTCTCGTGCCTTGGTTTTCAGCTCCATCAGGTCCTTTAAGAACTTCTCTGCATTGGTTATTCTAGTTAGCCATTCGTCTAATTTCTAATTTTTTTTCAAGGTTTCAACTTCTTTGCCATGCATTCGAACTTCCTCCTTTAGCTTGGAGTAGTTTGATCGTCTGAAGCCTTCTTCTCTCAACTCGTCAAAGTCGTTCTCTGTCCAGCTTTGTTCCATTGCTGGTGAGGAGCTGCATTCTTTGGAGGAGGAGACACACTCTGATTTTTAGAGTTTCCAGTTTTTCTGCTCTGTTTTTTCCCCATCTTTGTGATTTTATCCACCTTTGGTCTTTGATGATGGTGACATACAGATGGGTTTTTGGTGTGGATGTCCTTTCTGTTTGTTAGTTTTCCTTCTAACAGTCAGGACCCTCAGCTGCAGGTCTGTTGGAGTTTGCTGGAGGTCCACTCCAGACCCTGTTTGCCTGGGTATCAGCAGCAGAGGCTGCAGAACAGCGGATATTGGTGAACAGCAGATGTTGCTGCCTGATTGTTCCTCTGGAAGTTTTGTCTCAGAGGAGTACCCGGCCATGTGAGGTGTCAGTCTGCCCCTACTGGAGGGTGCCTCCCAGTTAGGCTACTTGGGGGTCAGGGACCCACTTGAGGAGGCAGTCTGTCCATTCTCAGATGTCCAGCTGTGTGCCGGGAGAACCACTCCCCTCTTCAAGGCTCAGTTGGAAATGCAGAAATCACCCATCTTCTGTGTCGCTCATGCTGGGAGCTGTAGACTGGAGCTGTTCCTATTCAGCCATCTTGGCTCCACTCCCATCACCCCATGGCTGTGGCCTTTCTCTGATCTCACTTTTCCTTTTTGGTTTGTTCCTCTTGGTCCCTATTATAGAATACCGAGGTTGTCAGGCTTAATAATGCCTCCAGATTTTGTTCAGGGCCCAGAGCTCACTTTTGGAGCTTCCTCCTGATATCTGAGGCTGACTGGGTAATAAACTTATCTTTTAGGATCAATTGACACTCAAGGGAGTTGGGTGACAGGGGAGTATATTTTCTTAAGCCCTCCCATAGCTGCTTGAGGAAGGCAGAAGGATTTTCTTCCTTTCCCTGAGTCATGGTGGACATCATTGAATAATTCATGGACTTTTTCCTAATTCTTCTTAGTCCTTCTAGAACACAGGTCAACAGATGTTTGTGACTCCAGTCCCCATGATCTGAGTCAAGGTACCAGTGAGGATCCATACTGGGATGGCTTGCTGACCAGTAGGGAATTTGTCCCTTTTTTCAGCTGTCATTCTATCATTTACTTGACTAAGATACCAGGTATGTCCAAACTCTTGGGCTGCAGCTAAAGCCACATACTTTTCATTAAAGGCCAGGGTTTTACCTAACAATAGCATGACATCTCTCCCAGTGAGGTCAAAGATTTACCCTACACCCTGTAGGATATCTATGTACCTATCAGGATCATCTGAAAATTTTCCCAGGTCTACCCTGATCTGTTTTAAATCAGAGAGGGAGAAGGGGACATGTACCTGGGTTGGGCCAAATTGCCCTCCCCCTACAGTTTGAAGGGGACACAACCAATAGCCCTGGGGGTTTTGTGGTCCTTTGGAGATTTCTTTGCTTGTTTCCTTCTGTGTGGGGGGGATTAGAGGAGTCTTATCAATAGGGAGGGGAGCTGTAGGGAGGCTAGGATATGGAGGTAAGTTGAGGGGTTCTCTTGTGGGATGTAAATTACAAGCTTTGCATAGTTATGGATTATCCTTCAATGAAAAGAAAGCTTGAACATAAGGTATTTCACTCCATTTGCCTTCCGTCTTACAGAAAAGGTCAAGCTTCAGGATAGTATTGTAATTTATACTTCCCTTTGGTGGCTATTTTTTCCCATTAGAGAGAGAATATTGGGGCCAGGCCATAGTGCAGAAAAAAATGAGCTGCCTCTTTTTCAGGGTTTGCAGGTCACATTGGTCCCAATGGCTTAGAATGCATTTCAAGGGTGAGCCTGTTTTTGCCTGAGCATTTCTCATCTGAAAGAAAAAAACTACCCGTGGTTTTGGTTTGTTTTTTCCCCGCCCTGCCCAAGAACCTGCAACGGTCCCTGGACCCTGCTGATCAGAATAGTTGTACTCACTGACATGGCAGCAGATCCCTCTCTTGTCCAAGAACCCGCCACGGTCCCTGGACCTTGCTGATCAGAATAGTTGCGTTCACCGATGCAGCAGCAGAAACACTAGTTTTCCTCCTAGACCACAAAGAGGACTGAGAAAAGTCGGATTTAGTGGCCCTTACCAATGCATTCTCAAAAACCTGCACCCTTGCCTTTCCTCTTAGACCACAAAGAGGACTGACTGAGAAAAATCGGATTTAGTGGCCCTTACCAACATATTCGCGAAAACCTGTTAGAGTCCTAAGTGTTTTCTCCTGTTAGTATTGGGACCTTACTCCTGTCCTACAAAGATGATATGCTTCAAAATGGAGTGGAGGGCCATACCCTGAGGGAGGGAAGGGATCTCCAGGGTTGGAAGAGTGACACCTTTTGTCCTTACTTCTCTTCATATGGATAGGAAGGATATCATTTCTGAGACTCCCCATATCCTAGCTTCGGGAATAATCTTTGTTAGGCCTGCTAGTCTGAGGAGGGATCCTAAAATTCCAGAGAGTCTCCCCATCTGACAGGGCTTTGGGCAAAAATTATGTCTTTCTGATTGGTGAGACTGAGTGCCTAAAGAAAGGAACGGGGTCCTGAAATTTATACTAGGAGTCATTCTTATAGGAGAAACTAGAAGAGCACCAGAGACAGGGAGTGGTGTTTAGAAGTGGGACTAGCCTCAGAGAAGAAAGGCAGGAGGAAATATGTCTGACAGGCATTATGACCCAGGACACAAGGGTCAGGATAGATAGGATAGATGGACAAGTCTCACTTGGGTAATGTGACTTTGAGAGTTCTGCTCATGGCTGCAGGGTTAACCAATGTTTTGTTAGGACCCCGGAGCTGAATGGCTTTCCTCTGTCGACCCTCGGCTCAGTCTGGGAATACAGGAAAAGTGGAAGCCGGTTCCAGGCAAACCAAAGCTCCCAACTCTAAAGAGTCAGGGGTTGTTAGAGAGCCCTTTCCCAGAAAGCCTGACACCTGTGTCTTTAGTCTGGTGGCCACGTTAGTCTCTTTTAAATGGCCAACAGATGTCCAGTGTTTAGCCCCCGAATTCTAAGGAAAAATAGGACAGAATAGCAAGTGAAAGGGGTCCAATGCTACTCATCACTTGGTGATAGTCCCTTCATGGTCACCAAGATGTGTCCGGAGTTGGTTCCTTCCAGTGGGTTCATGGTCTCACTGACTTCAAGAATGAAGCTGTGGACCTTCATGGTGTTACATCTCTTAAAGGTGACACGGATCCAAAGAGTGAGCAGCAACAAGATTTACTGTGAAGAGGGAAAGAACAAAGCTTCCACCCTGTAGAAGGGGACCCAAGTGGGTTGCCACTGCTGGCTGGGATAATCAGCTTTTATTCCCTTATTTGACCCTTCCCATGTCCTGCTGATTGGTCCATTTTACAGAGTGCTGATTGGTCTATTTTGCAAACCTCTAGCTCGCCACAGAGTGCTGATTAGTGCATTTTTACAGAGCACCGATTGGCACATTTTACAAAGCTCTAGCTAGCCACAGAGCGCTGATTGGTGCATTTTACAACCCTAGCTACAGAGTGCTGATTGATGCATTTTACATTCCTCTTGTGAGACAGAAAAATTCTCCAAGTCCCCACTTGACCCAGAAGTCCAGCTGGCTTCACCTCTCACGTTCTCACACTGCTAATAAAGACATACCCAAGACTGGGTAATTTATAAAGAAAAAGAGGTTTAATGGACTCACAGTTGCACATGGCTGGGGAGGCCTCACAATCATGGCAGAAGGTGAAGGAGGATCAAAGGCACATCTTACATGGTGGCAGGCAAGAGAGCGTGTGCGGGGGAACTCGCATTTATAAACCCATCAGATCTTGTGAGATTTATTCACTATCATGAGAACAGCACAAAAAAATCTCCCACCCCCATGATTCAATTACCTCCCACCTGGTCCCTCCCATGACACGTGGGAATTATGGGAGCTACAATTCAAGGTTAAATTTGGATGAGAACACAGCCAAACCATATCAAGAAGTTTCCCTTGCTGAGATAGGGAGAGCAAAAAGAGAGAGAAACATATGAACCAGGAAGCCTTCATTCTTTCTTCCCAAATCCCCAATCAGATAAATTGCCTTTCTTCACCCTTGCTGAAATACCCTCTTTGTACTTCAGCACTTGTGAATAGTAAAGTAACTTTCAATCTTTGTACATCTGAAGATATCCTCATTTTGTCATCACACAGGAATGATACTTTATCTGAGTATAAAAATCTGGAGTGGTATTAAACTTTCCTCAACCCTTGAAAAATATTAATCCACTGTCTGCTGGCTTTTATGGTTTTATGAGAAGTCTGTTTTCACTCTGATTATTAATGCTTTGTATGTTTCTCTCCCTGGCATCTAAAAATGTTTTCTTCTTGATTTTCCAATTTCACAACAATATGATCAGATAAAGGTTTAAAAAATGTATCCCTTTCAGAAATTGGTGCGACTTATAAATTTCCTCAATTTACCAACTTCTTAATAATTTTCTATTTTGATGTTGATTTTCTCCTGTTTATTTTGTTTTTTCTTTCTGAAATTCCTAGTAGATGTTGGTATAATACAGATTTTATTAGATGTATCCACACAGATATCATTTTGTTCAACCAGAGTGTAGCTCCAGTCAGAGACCTGCAATTTTCTCCATTCATAGCTGATATCCACTGAGGGTCCCAAGTTGGGAAAGGGAAAATGAGAGGGAAGAGAGTTTCCAGTTTCTCAACATAGCTTGTGTATCTCTTAAACCAACTCTTATATTTTTCATCTTTTTTCTTTCTAAGTGGTATTTTGAACATTTTTAAAGTTCTAACATCTATATGCTAATTCCAAATTCAGTTTTGTCTACGTTTGTATATATGCCATTCATTGAAGAATTTTGCAACATTTTTGATAAAGTAAATTTTATTTTCAAGTCTTCTTATTTGTTTCCTCTTCATTTTTCCTGTGCAGATTAGTAGCCACTTATGTTTTGTTTTATTTGTTTATTGCTCTGATTTTATGGATGTACTTACTTAATAACTAGTGGGTATTTTAAGCATGCTTATTTTAAAGTTTATGTCTTACACTATGATTTATTTTCCCTTTGCACATAATATTTTTTTGTGGGTCTTATCTTTTATGTTTATTGAGTCTCTTGACTGTGTTTTATTATTGAGATTCGGATTCCCCTACATTTAATATACCCCTATTTATTTAAGAGCTCATTTCATATTGGTGTACTTTGTTTTCTCTTTATTGAATAAGCCCTCTCTCTCTGTCAATTGGTTTTGTAGTTTCAATGGCCAAAATTCCTAATATTCACAGATCTTACATTAGTGTATCAGAGTTTTGGCACTGATGGTTTGATCCTGTTTTTCATCAAGCAAATGAGGAAGGCATGAGGACTGGTTATGGAGATAAACCAAGACGGTATTAAGAGATTTAACTTAGCTTCCAGTTATGGGAAGGAATCACATATAGATTTCCTATTTTTCAAAGGTAATCTGTTACTGACACTTACTGAACATGTTTGTTCATTATTCCCCAGGGATGTTTCTATCAAGGGCTCAACATTTTGTTCCATTCCCAGAGCTTAGTAGATCACAGGCTCATATCTCACTCATCATTGAAGTTTCCTGTGCTTTCTGGGCTACAGATATTTGTATACATGGTGTTGAGCCAAAGTATTTATTTTTAAATACATAGTATATAATTTCTATGTGTTTAGAGTAGTGGAAGAAGACATTTTTCCCTTACTTTCTTTTCAGTTGCTTAATGGGCTACTTACTGATGAAATTTAAATTGGCCCTTATAGAAAATATTGATATATTACACAGCAGATTACCTTTATTGGGTTTAAAATGTTCCAACCTTCCAATCAATAAAGTTTAACCCAATCAATAAGTTCGGGAATGTTTGCCCATATAATGATGCTGACACATACACTCATGATTGAATTTGAAATTGGAATAAACTTTACTTGATGGAGTCATCAACAACTTTATGGAAATGGATTTTGTATTATAAAAGAAGGAAATCCTCTCATGATACGACATTATGATATTCTCTTATACCTACATGTACTCAATATCTTTGCTATACTATGCTTCCTCTGCTTTTACCCTTCACTCAATTTCTTAACAAATAACACTGTCTTAAGAAAGCCACTAATAAAATGTACATATGTTATTGCAAAGTAAATCTGACTCCTAGAACATCAGAAAGGACTAAAGAGGTAAAGAGGCTATATGGTATGTGCATGCGTTTCAGGGACAGATGTCCCAAGAATATAATGAATCTCATTATTTGAATTTTTTTTATTTTTTATTATTTATTTATTTATTTATTTTTTTTTTGGTGAGACAGAGTCTCGCTCTGTCACCAGGCTGGAGTGCAGTGGTGCGACCTCGGCTCACTGCAACCTCCGCCTCCCAGGTTCAAGCGATTCTCCTGCCTCAGCCTCCCTAGTAGCTGAGACTACAGGTGCGCATCACCATGCCCAGCTAATTTTTGTATTTTTAGTAGATACGCGGTTTCATCATGTTGGCCAGGATGATCTCAATCTTCTGACCTCGTGATCTGCCCACCTCAGCCTCCCAAAGTGCTGGGATTACAGGCGTGAGCCACCGCACCCGGCCTGAAGTTTTTTAAATTGTCATTTGCATTTTAGTGCCTCTATTGAGAAGGACATGAAAGTCTTCCATATTTAACACATTTCCTGGACAACTTAAGCAGAGAAGAATGAGAGGAATCTGCAGCAGAGGTCACAATGTTAAACATTGCTTTACTGATCAGATTAAACAAAGGCAGAAAGGGAAATCTGTCCTCGTTATGGTTTATCTGTAAGGTCCTTGGCTTCAGAAAAATGTCTCTAGGTGGAGGTTGAATATGAGCACAGGTTAAGAATCCAAAGAAATAGAGAAAAAAGTGAGGCAGTTCTGTAATGGGAGAGGAACAGAGAGGTGGGATGGTCCGGTTCTCTATTGCTTTTGCTAAAAGTATAATAAAAATATGTTGCATTTATTTCTTTACAATAAAGTGACTAAAATGTACTATCTCATTAAATATCAACCCAATCCTATGAAGTAGGTACTATTGCTATGCACATTTTACTGACACGGTAACTGAAGCACAGAAAGATTCCTAAAATTTGAACATATTTGTGATCTGAGAGGTGTCCTCTCTCTGGCTACATAGAATGAGTAGCTCTTGAATCCTGTGATTAGCTATTAGGGATCCAGTTTGCTGCTGACTCATTCTTTTCCATCTCAGTTCCACTTCCTCTCACTCACATACTCATTCATTTACTCACCCATATTATCATCCACTCATATATTCCCTCATTCATTTATGTAATTATTTAATAATTTCGATTTATTTTATTTTTTCATTGAGTGGGCATTTAATGACTTTGATAGTATAAAAAACCAAGCTTGGTGAAGAATGAGAGGGCTGATATATGAGTTGATGCCAGTCCTCAAGAGTGCACAACTCCCTCTAGTTACCAGTTCTAGAGATCATTTTTTAACTTACAGATGACTCCATCTTGGCTGTGAGTTTGACTGTGCCTGATTGAACCCCTCTTGGTGACTAATGATATTATTTCATTTCCCTGTATCCCACCTGAAAAGATGTCCCCTCACCGTTGATCTTGACTTCAGTGTCTTGTTAGATGTCAAAGTCACAGTTAATAGTTTGGGGAAAAACTTGAGTTCATTTTTCTCTTCTCAATGCTTCCATTCACAGAAATAATCCACACACAAATTTCGAGCTTTAGAAATTCATTTTTTATTTTTATTAGAAATTTACAGAAGCATATATGACAGGAAATGTTGCTGTCCAAGTGTTAGACATCATTAAACTTCTGTCTAGAATTCAGATAAGAAAGAGATACAGATATGTTTTTGGATTGATTCTTGCCCTCTGAACTCTGTTTTTGATCTTTGAAATTCAGGAACGAAATACATTTAGATTATACAGTATTCCTAATTATCCAAATTCACCACTGGAAGCCTCACAGTTTTTAAGCTCAGGATCCAGATAGATGTGGATAGTGAAAGATACTGCAATGGATTTCTGGATTCACCACAGATGTACTAAAAGAGATTATTTTGGATTAGATCCTAGGATTCTGCCTTTTGAGAATCTCTCAGGGTGATTCACAGCTGCACTAATTTCTAAGAACGATGGCTCCTTGCTGTGTACAAGAACCATGGATTTGTTTTGAATTCTAGGAATTGAGAATATGATTCCGGTATTATACACCTGTGAGGCTTACCTGCAAAGCACTTTACACTAATAGTATGATGTAGTGTGAAATTCTATACTATCTAGGATTATAATTTTGATAGTAAAATAGAAGTGGCATTTTATTTCTGGTAAAAGACATCCAAAATTTTCTCTAACCTAATCATATTCCCAAAATATGAATAGAACAGATCTCATGTGTGAAGGAAGTGCTCAGAGAAATTAAAGACAAGAAATAATTAAAATAAAACAAATTATTAGACACTGGAGATCCAGTGAAATTTCAACATGTTTGCAACCAATTTATAAATAGTAGGCTAAGCCCAATGAAGACTTTGCTTTTCCAATAACCACCTTGAATGCACTCTGGACTTCTTTGTTCCTCAGGCTATAGACTAGAGGGTTAAGCATGGGGATGACCATGGTGTAGAACACAGATGAGATTTTGTCTGTGTCCATGGAATGACCAGAACTTGGCTGTAAGTACATAAAGGTGATTGTCCCATAGAAGATGGAAACAGTAGTGAGGTGATAGGCACAGGTGGAAAAGACCTTCTTTTGTCCCTCAGCTGAATGCATCCTCAGGATAGCAATAAAAATAAAAACATAAGAGTTCAAGATAATCAAGAGAGTGAAAAAGATATTAAATGCTGCCAATATGAAGAGCACAATCTCATGTGCGTAAATATCAGAGCAAGAAAGAGCTAAGAGTGGTGGAATATCACAAAAAAAGTGATTAACCACATTAGAATGACAGAAGGAGAGATGGAAAGTAAAAGCAACATGGATGGAGGATTGAAAGAGTCCACAGATGTAGGAGCCAGTGACTAGCAGGACAAACACTGTCCACCAGAGAGAGTTTGCCAAGGAAAAAGTACATGGGAATGTGGAGCCGGGAGTCCAACAGAATCAACATGATCATCCCAAAGTTCCCAACCAGAGTGGTGAGATAAATGACAGTAAAGATGATAAATAAAGGGACCTGAAGCTCTAGGACATCTGTTAACCCCACGAGAACGAATTCTGTCACTTCTGAAATGTTATCCATCAAAGTCATTTGGGAATTATCCTGAGAGTTACCTATGATGAAAAAACACAAAATTATGCTAACTGATCACTATCATGGGAGCTAAAGTGTGGCCAGGTCTCTTGCTCACATCTCAGCTTCCTGTCCAGTGCAGGAGTCTGTGTGCAAGATGTTGGACCAGATTCTGGGTAGGGGTGGGTTGAGTGAGGCCATTAATGCTGAAGCAGTGTGGATACTGGCATGTCTCTGCTGACCATGACTGGCTCAGTGGTCTGTATTATATCTCTGGGGCACATTTCAGCTTTCCTAGTGTATGATATACTCTATTACACTAAATCACACAACACCCTTTTTCACTACTTGCCGTATCTTTGAAGCCCTCTTATTTACGTAAAAATCTTACTCAACAGAAAGCGAAATACAGGAAATATTTGATCATTCTTTGGTATGTGATGCTGACAAGTCCTGTCACATGCAGTTCCCATCTCTCATAGACATCTTAAAAATCTGTTCTTAATAGCTGAAAACATGCAAAAATTCAAGGCCCTTCTCTAGGGACACCCACACTTTTCTGCCTAATTTATCAGGGCCCTTAATTGGGTGCTTCACTGGCCACTAAAAGAAACTGCAAGATCTGTGATGCACATTCGTACTGATGTGTTGGTGTCACTCAGTAACTAAAAAACCAAAGGAACAGTTTTCAAAAGGTTGAAGCAAAGCTTTAGGTGTTTTCTCTTCATCTCACAATCTTTTTTTTTTTCTTATGGGCTGATGTTTTCATCTCCCACCATCACCCATGTCTTTGCATTATTTGTGGGGAGGGAGAATAGGGGAAGATCGAAAAAGTCACTTTTGTTCTCCTCTAGAAACTCCGTGCCCTTAATCAAGTCACAGACCTCCTACTGTATTACATAGTGTATCTAGTGATACTTACTTCCAGTGGTGGATCAGGTGACATCTTACTCTGTTGCCATGTTTATAGTACTGAGAGGCCCTTTCAATTCAAGGGACCTTCTGAATCTGCAGTCTTGAGTCACAGTTGTTTCTTTTGGTTTAATAATCTTTCATATTCAAGGCAGGTAATGATATAGCCCTTATTGAGACTAGCCAAGGTGAAAATCATTCTCCAACTGTCTCGTATGCTTTTCTGCTCTTATGTGACAATGAATTTGAAGGTTCTTTTAAAATTATAAAAGATACTAACAATTTTAATTAGGCAATCTGAGCCATTACTTTTTATAGCTCATTGCATCTCTTCTTGGTTACTGCAGTATAAGCAGCCAATATTGAGTTTCCAAACTTTAATGTTTCTAAAGTAAATAACCTAATATTTGATATCCCCAAATAGATGTTGAAAGTGTTACAACTCCTGAAATTCAGAAAGGGAGGTAAGATCTTTGCACTGCTATGTGTATAGCACATTCTAATTAAAAGCAAATTAGGAAGTATGGTCTCCCTTTTGAGTATAACCGTCACCCCAACCATTTATACAAGTCATCAGAGGGTAATGAGTGTGGAAATCTGGGTGCTGTAGAGCAGCTTAGTAGAGTGGAAGGAGCAGTGGACAAGGAGTCAGAAGACAGCTAGCCAGCAGGGTGTCTATGGTAGACTCTAACTGCTGAAGGCTTTATTTTCCTTTTGTGTATTTGTTCGTAAAGAAAAATGATTAGACCTTCTAGCACCCCTTGCAATTCTAACTGGCTATGATTGTGAGGGTTTTTTTTTTTTTTTTTTTTTTTTTGATACTTACTTTTGTCCTAGGAACAGACAAATTGAGGATACAAAGAACAGGGTATGGAAAACCTTCAAGTCCAGACCATTGACTGGAAATCCACATCCAGAAAAGCATCATGCTAGAGAAACTCCCCACCTGTGGAACTCTATGTTGTGGAACATAATCTAGGCTGTGCTCTTACAAATATCAAGGCAGTGGCAGAGACCAATCTCAGGAGAAACATTTAGCATCCTGCCAGTGGATATCTCAGGAGGTTCCTGATCCCAGGTTGGCCCTCCCCATCTGACCTTGACTGAAGACAGCAGAAGATAGTTTGCATTTGGGCTGGGAATGCTTATGAAGACATGGAGAAATGGAAGCTTAGAGGGAAGAGCCTCCAATCATCAAATCATCAGTGCCATAGCCATGTTAAGGAGCAAAAATAAAAGCCTCACTAAAATATCTAGCTAAGGTAATGTCAGGACCTCATGCAAACTTTCTCATATCTAGCTTTTTCTCAAATGTTTAGTGATCTCCCCAGGATTTTCTTTCATTTTTGTTTTCTATTTTTTTAAAAACAAAATACCTATTTGTCTTACAACTAGAGTGGTCTGGGGATCTTTTTCCTTACTTTTCAACCTAAGGAAATGAATCCATTCTTTCTTCTGCATAGTTGCCTCTGATCCCACCAACTACAAGGCAGAATTATCTCTCTTTTATCAATGCAGTCAAGTGTAGTTATTATAAATGTGAGCTGTGTGGTCATGTGGCTTAGCTTCAATCCTAGTCCTGTCACCTTTTGCAATGTGACCTTGGCCAAATTATTTAATCTCTCCAAACTTCAGTATGTCACCTATATAAAGGAGATAATAAGATAATTATCCTATGTATCTCATAGGAGAATCATAAAGATGAAATGATATATATACAAAGCAGGTCATGATATCTGGAACATATCAAGAGATCAATGCATTTAAGTACCACTATTTCATCATAAATTAAAAATTACTATCTCATGTGGAACAAAAATTGTGGTGCTCAAACATTACACCTGCTCCTCATATTTCCCTGTCCCTTTGCAACTAGGTAGAACCATGAACTAGCTCTATAAAATGGACTGGAGAAGAAGCAGTATGAGTTATTTTGGGGTTGAAGTATAGAAAAGCCCAAGCAAAACCATCCATTTGCCTCTCCCTCTGCTATGGTAACTGGGGAGTCTGCATCTTCCAGAGAATGTGGCTACAGAGGGCAAAACTTCCATTGGCCTGGGTATTTGAGTAAACATGTGGAGAGAGACTGCCCCTTTCCTAGACAAACTGTGATGCACATATATTAGCAGAAGTAATAAATAAATATTAGTAGTTTTAAATTATTGGACTTTTGAGTTTATTTGTTATGGTGGTGTAACTTAGTCTCCCCAGTCTATTACATATAATAAACTAAGTACATTTTGTTGTCTATGTATTTTATTTTTTTGAACAAATGACATGCTCTTGGGAACCACTCTCCTTATCATTCATTTCTTGTTTCTTTATATAATAGGCTTATTGTGATATAATTAACTGACCATAAAATTTATCCATTTAAAATATAAACTTCAATGATTTTTTTGTATACTTTGGGTTATGCATCTATCACCACAATCAATTTTAGAACATTTTTAAAACCTGAAAAAAAAATCTTGTACTGATTAGCAGTCACTCCCATTTTCTTCCATGCCCCCACCCACCACAAGCTTTAGAAAACCACTTATCTAATTTCTGTCTCTATATATTTGTTTAACATGAACATTGCAGCTAACTAGAATCATACAATATGTCATCATTTGCGACTGTCTTCTTTTACTTAGAATAATGTTTTTAAGGTTTATCCATTTTGTAGCATTTATCATTACTTCATTTCTTTTTATTGCTGAATAATATTACGTTGTAAGGACATATCATATTTTATCCATTCTTTAGTTGATGGACATTTTTGTTGTTTCTACTTTTGGCAATTTTGAACTATGCAATTTGTATGATTTTTTTGTGTAGGCATATGCTTTCATTTCTTTAGGGTGCATACCTGAGCTAAATTTCTGGATCATGTGATAACTCTTAGGTTTAAACTTTTGAGGAGCTGTTTTTCAAACATGTTTTTCAGACTATTTTTCAAACAAGCTACACTATTTTACATTTCCAACAGTGATGTTTTAGGGTTGCTATTTTTCTACACCCTTTCCAACACTTACTACTATCCATCCTTTTTATTTTAGCCATTCTACTGGAAAGTGATATTCATCGTGGTTCCGATTTGTATTTCCCAATTGGCTAATGATGTTGAGCATCTTTTCATGTGCTAATTGGACATTTGTATATGTACTTTAGAAAAATGCCTATTCATATATTTGCCCATTTATTATCTTTTTATTATTGATATAAGAATTTTTAATATACTCTAAATACAAGACCTTCATAAGATTTGAAAATATTTTCTCCTGCTCTGTGGGTAAATACTACTTTCTTGATGCTGCCCTCTAGAACAAAAAATATACTAATTTTGATGAAATCTAATGTACCTATTTTTTCTTTTGCTGTTCTGCTTTTAGTGTTGTATGTAAAAAGTCTTTTCCCAACTAAAGTTCACAAAGATTTACTTCTCTATTTTCTCCTAAGAGTATTACAGATGTAGCTCTTAACATTTATGCCTATAGTTTAATTTTTGCACGTGGTGTGAAGAAAGGATTCAACTTCATATGTTTTCCTTGAAATATTTTTATTGAGATATTATTCACAATCTAAAATTCATCATTTTAAAGTGCACAATCTGTTTTTTCATGTTCATAATGTTTTGTACCCGTCACAAATATCTTATTTCATAACATTTCTATCACCACAAAAAATAATTCCGTATATGTTAGTTGTTACCTCCATTCCTCTTATCCCCAAATCCGCTGTCAATGAGTAATCGAATTTCTGTTTCTATTGATTTGCCTATTCTAGATATTGAATATAAGTGGAATTATATAATATTTGTCTTTTGGTATCTGGATTCTTTTACTTGGCATAACATCTTTAAAGTTCTTCCATGTTGTAACACATGTCAGTACTTTGTTCTTTTTTATGACTGAATAATATTACATTTTATGAATATACCACATTTAATTCATGTATTCATCGTTTGATGAATATTTAGGTTCTTTTCACCTTTTGGCAATTTTGAATATGCTGCTATGAACATTCATATGCAAATTTTGCCTGATCATATGTTTTCATTTCTCTTCGATATATACCTAGAAGCAAAATCATCGGGTCATATATGGTAACTCTGTTTAACATTTTGCGGACTGCCAAACCATAGCTGCTTGACTGCTTTACATCCCCCTCCCCTGCAAGATATTAGGGTTCCTATTTCTCCACAATAACTCAAAAATTTGTTGTGTCCATTTCCTTCATTACTGCCATCCTAGCAGGTATAAAGTGGTATCTTACTGTGGATTTTTTTTTTCTTACAGAGTCTCACTCTTTCACTCAGGCTGAAGTGCAATAGTGCAATCACTGCTCATTGCAGCCTTAAACTTTTGGGCTCAAGCACTCCTCCTACCTCAGCCTCCAGAGTAGCTGAGACTACAGACACGCACCACTACAATTGGCTAATTTTTTGATTTTTTTGTAGAGATGAGATATCACTACGTTGCCCAGGCTGGTCTTGAATTTCCAGTCCCAAGCGGTCCTCCCACCTAGGCCTCCCAAAGTGCTGGGATTGCAAGCATGAACCACCATACTGCCTTACTATGGATTTGATTTGCTTTTACTAAAGATGCTGAACATCTTTTTCTGTGTTTATTGGACATTGGTGTGTCTTCTTTGGAGCAATATACATTCAAATATACTGCCCATTCTAAAATTTGGCTACTTATCTTTCTAATGTTAAGTTGTAAGCATTCTATGTGTATTCTGGATACTAGCTCCTTATCAAAATGCTGTATTCAATTACTGATAAGAGAAGCCTTTATCTTAGATACAGTTATAAATGAAATTGCTTTCTTAATCTCATTTTCAAATTGTTCATTGCTAGTGTATAAAAACACAAGTGATTTTTTTCATGTTGCTTTTGTACCTTGAAAACTTAGTTAAATTCATTTATTAGCTTCTTGCTTCTTGGTCCTCATCTCAGGGAGAAAGCTTTCAGTTCTTCCATCATTGAATATGAGGTTAGCCTTGAATTTTTTATAAATACCCTTGAGAAGTTGAGGAGGTTCTATTTATTCCTAGATTTCGTTTTTTTTTTTTTTAATTCTTAACAGGGTGTTAGATTTTGTTAAATGCAATTTTTCATCAATTGTGATGATCATGTGATTTTTTTCCTTCTTCAAATAATGTAGTGTATTACATTGATTGATTTTCTCATGTTGAGGCACCCTTGCATTCCTGGGATAAATATTTCTTGGTTATAGTACATAATCATTTTAATATACTGTTTGATTTGGTTTGCTAATATTTTGTTTAAAATATGCATTTATATTAGTAAGGGATATTTCTTCATAATTTTCTTTTCTTGTGATGTCTTTATTTGGCTTTGATGTCAGGGCAAAGTTTTCCTCAGATAATAAGTTGGAATGTGTTCCCTTCTC
Organism: Homo sapiens; assembly: GCF_000001405.40. Taxonomy (NCBI): domain Eukaryota; kingdom Metazoa; phylum Chordata; class Mammalia; order Primates; family Hominidae; genus Homo; species Homo sapiens. The sequence continues at coordinate 58,324,687 of NC_000011.10, forward strand.
TGTATTTTGGAATTTTAGAAGGATTGATGTTATTTTTTTTTAAATGTGTAGTGGAATTCACTAGGGAAGCCATCTGGTCCTGGATTTTTCTTTTATGGATGGTTTTTTATTACTGATTTAATCTCTTTACTTGAGACACGTCCATTCGATAAGATTTTGTATTTCTTCCTGAGTCATTTCAGGTAATTTTTGTGTTTCTAGGAATTTATTTTAATTACTGCCTAATATATTTGTACACAATTGTTAGTCAAATCTCTTATAATCCTTTAAATTTCTATAAGGTCAGTAGTAATATCACCACTTTTATTTTGGGTGTTAGTTATTTGTGTCTTCTTTTTTTCTTTGTCAATAAAATAAAAATTTTTCATTTTTTAAGTTTTTCAGATAACCGACTTTTGGTTTCAATGATTCTTTTACTTGTTTTTCTGTTCTCAGTTTTATTTATCTCTATGCTAATCTTTGTTATTTCCTACCTTTTGCTAGCTTTGGGTTTAGCTTTCTCTTCTTTTTCTAGTTTCTCATGGCGCAAAATTAGTTTAATGATTTTAGACTTATTTCTTTTTAATGTAGGCATTTACAGCTTTAAATTTCCTGCTGACCACTGGTTTTGCTACATGCTACATGCTTTGTTATACTGTTTTTATTTTAATAATTACTAAGAATTTTATAATTTTTCTTAAGGTCTATTTTTGAGCCATTGATTGTTTTTTTAAATTTAACTTTTATTTTAAGTTCAGGGGTACATGTGCAGGCTTGTTATATAGGTAAACTTGTGTCATGAGGGTTTGCTGTATAGAATATTTTGTCACCAAGGTATTAAACTTAGTACTGACTAGTTATTTTTTTCTGATTTTCTCCCTCCTCCCACCATTCACCTTTCGATAGGCCCCAGTGTGGTTTTTTACCTCTTTGTGTCCATGTTTTCTCATCATTTAGCTCCTACTTATAAGTGAGAACATGCTATATTTGGTTTTCTCTTCCTGTGTTAGTTTGCTGAGGATAATGACTTCCAGCTCCATCTTGTTCCTGCAAAGGACATGATCTCATTCTTTTTCATGGCTTCATAGTATTCCATGGTATATATGTACTACATTTTCTTTATCCAGTCTATGAGTCTACCATTGAGGGGCATTTAGGTTGATTCAATGTCTTTGCTATTGTGAATAGTGCTGCAATGAACATATGCACATATATGTCTTTATAATAGAACAGTGTATATTTCTTTGAGTATATACCCAGTAATGGAATCACTGGGTTGAATGGTATTTCTGTTTTTAGGTCTCTGAGGAATTGCCACACTGCCTTCCACAATGGTTACACTAATATGCACTCCCACCAAGAGTGCATAAATATTCCTTTTTCTCCCACAACCCCACCAGCATCTTTTTTTTTTTTTTTTTTTTACTTTTTAATAATAGGCATTCTGACTGGCGTGAGATGGTATCTTATTGTAGTTTTCATTTGTATTTCTCTAATAAGTGATGATGAGCTTTTTTTTCATATGATTGTGGGTCACATGTATGTCTTCTTTTGAAAAGTGCCTGTTTTTTTTTTGTTTGTTTGTTTTTGTAAATTTAAGTTCCTTATGGATGCTGGATAGTGCATAGTTTGCAAAAAATTTCTCCCATTCTGTAGGTTATCTGTTCACTTTTTTGATAGATGTCTTTGCTGTGTATAACCTCTTTAGTTTAATTAAATTCCATTTGTCAATTTTTGCTTTTGTCGTGATTGCTTTTGCAATCCTCATCATGAAATCCTTGCTTCTATGTCCAAATTGCTGTTGCCTAGGTTGTCTTCCAGGGTTTTTATAGTTTCAGGTTTCACATTTAAGTCTTTAATCCATCTTGAGTTAATTTTTGTATATGGTGTAAGGAAGGGGTCCAGTTTCAATATTCTGCATATGGCTGGCTAGCCAGTTATCTCGGCACCATTTATTGAATAGACAATGCTTTCCCATTGCTTGTTTTTGTCAGGTTTGCTGAAGATCAGGTATATATAGGTGTGTGGCCTTATTTCTGGGTTCTTTCTGTTCCATCGGTCTATGTGTCTGTTTTTGTACTAGTACCATGCTGTTTTGGCTACTGTAGCCTTGTAGTATAGTTTGAAGTCAGGTAATGTGATGCCTCTGGTTTTGTTATTTTTCCTTAGGATTGCATTTCTTTCATATGCTTGTTGGCCATGTGTATGTCTTCTTTGTACTTTGTACTTTGCTCACTTTTTAATAAGGTTGTTTGTTTTTTGCTTGTTAATTTGTTTAAATTTCTTATAGATTCTGGATATTAGACCTTTATTGGATACATAGTTTGCAAGAATTTTCTTCTGTTCTGTGAGTTGTCTTCTTACTCTGTTGATAGTTTCTTTTCCTGTGCAGAAGCTCTAGTTTAATTAGGTCTTATTTTTAAATTTTTGTTTTTATTGCAATTGCTTTTGGCATCTTCATCATGAAACACTAGTTAAGGCCTATGTCCATAATAGTATTTCCTAGGTTTTGTTTTAGGTATTACATTTACATCTTTAATTGATTTTTGTATATGGTGTAAGGAAGGAGTCCAGTTCCAATCTTCTGCATATAGCTAGTCAGTTATCCCTGCACTATTTATTGAATAGAGAGTCCTTTCCCATTGCTTGTTTTTGTCAGCTTGGTCAAATATCAGATAGTTGTAGGTGTATGGCTTTACTTCTGGGCTCTCTACTCTGTTTCATTGGTGTGTGTGTGTGTGTGTGTCAGTACCATGCTGTCTTGACTACCACAGTCTTGTAGGATAGTTTGAAATTGGGTAATATGATGCCTCCATCTTTATTCTTTCTTCTTGGGATTGCTTTGGATATTCGGGCTTTTTGGGGGGTTCCATATGAATTGTGAACAGTTTTTCCTAATTCTGTGAAGTATTTCATTAATTGATTGACAGGAATAGCATTAAATCTATAAATTGCTTTGGGAAGTATGGCCATTTTAACAATATTGATTCTTTGTATCCGTGAGCATGGAATGTTTTTCAATTTGTTTGTTATCAATAACATCTTTTAGCAGTGTCTTGTAACTCATTGTAGAGATCTCTCCCCACCCTGGCTAGCTGTATTCCTAGCTACTTTATTCTTTTTGTGGCTATTGCAAACATGATTGCATTCTTGATTTCACTCTCAGCTCAGACATTGTTGGTATGCAGTCCTAATTACATTGATTTTGTATCCTAAAAATTTTCTAAAATTGTTTATAAGATCTAGGAGCCTTTAGACAGATACCATGGGGTTTTCTCAGTATAGAATCATATTGTCTGCCAACAGGGTTACTTTGGCCTCCTCTCTTTCTATTTGAATGCCTTTTATTTCTTTTTCTTGCCTAGTTGCTGTGGCTAGGACTTCCAGTACTATGTTGAATAGGAGTAGTGAGAGTGGACATCCTTGTCTTGCTCCAGTTCTCAAGGGAAATGCTTCCAACTTTTGCTGATACAGTATGATGTTAGCTGTGGCTGTGTCATAAATGGCTCTTATTATTTTGAAGTATGTTCTTTTAATGCCTATTTTTGAGAGTTTTTAACATGAAGTGTTGAATTTTATCAAAACCATTTTCTACGACACTTGAGAGGATTATAAGGTTTTGTTTTAATTCTCTATATCTGATGAATCATATTTATTGATTTGCCAACCAACTTGACACCCCAGGGGTAAAGCCTACTTTATCATTGTAGATTAGCTTTGTGATGTGCTCTTGGATTTGGTTTGCTAGTATTTTGCATCTACATTTATCAAATTTTTCAGCTTGAAGTTTTCTTTTTTTATTGTTTTGTCTTTGCTAGGTTTTGATATCCAAAGGATGCTGGTGTTATAAAAAGAATTAAGAAGCCTTTTCTCAATTTTTTAGAATAGTTTCAGTAAGAATGGTATAATCTCATCTTTATACATCTAGGATAATTCAGCAGTGAATTTTTCTGGTACTGGGCTTTTTCTGGTTGGTAGGCTTTTATTACTGATTCAATTTGGGGTCTTGTTATTGGTCTGTTTAGGGTTTCAGTTTCTTCCTGTTTCAGTCTTGGAAGGTTGTTTGTTTCCAGGAATTTCTCCCTTTCATGTGTTTTCTGTTTTGTATGCATAGAAGTGTTTATAATAGTGTCCGAATATTTTTTGTATTTCTGTTGGGTTGGTGGTGATTCCCCCTTTGTCATTACTGATTTTCTTTATTTGTATCTTCTGTCTTTTTTCATTAGTCTAGCTGTCTTTCATTCTTATTTATTCTTTCAAAAAACAAACCTTTTGTTTTGTTGATCTTTTTTATATTTTTTCATGTCTCAATTTCCTTGTTCTTTTTGGTTATTATTTGCCTTCTGCTAGCTCTAGGATTTGTTTGCTCTTGTTTTTCTCACTTTTCAGGTGTGATGTTAGGTTGTTAATTTGAAATATCTCTAATTTTTTATGTGGGCATTTAGTGCTATAAATTTCCCTCTTAACACTGCTTTATTTCTGTCCCAGAGATTCTGGTGTTACATGTTTGTTCTCACAGGTTTCAAATAATTTCTTGATTTCTGTCTTAATTTCATTGTTTACCCAGAAGTTATTCAGGAGCATGGGGTTTAATTTCCATGTAATTGTATGGTTTTGAGCAATCTTCTTAGTGTTGATTTGTATTTTTATTGTGTTGTGATCTGATAATGTGTTCTATATGATATTGCTTTTTTTTTAATTTTGCTGAGGATGATTTTGTAGCAAATTTTGTGGTCGATTTTAGAATATGTGCCATGTGCAGATGACAAGAATGTATATTCTGTTGCTTTTGGGTGAAGAGCTCTTTAGATGTCTGTTCAGTCCATTTTGTCAAGTGTTGAGTTCAGGTTGGTTTTTTTGTTTTGTTTTGTTTTGTTTGTAGAGAGGGGGTTTTGCCATGTTGCCCAGGCTTGTCTTGAACTCTTGGACTCAAGTAATCTGCCCACCTCAGCCTCCCAAAGTGCTGGGATTGCAGGTGTGAACCACTGCATCCAACCAGGTCTGAGATATCTTTGTTAGTTTTCTGCTTTAGTGACCTAACACTGAAGTGTGTTGTTGATGTCTCCTACTATTTTTGTGTGGTTGTCTAAGTTTCTTTGTAGGTCTCTAAGAGCTTGGTTTGTGAATTTGAGTGCTCTTGTTTTGGGAGCACATATATTTAGGGGAGTTAAGTCTTGTTGAATTAAATCTTTTACTATTATAATGCCTTTTTTGTCTTTTGTATTGTTATTGATTTAAAGTCTGTCTTGTCTAAAATTAGAATTGCAAACCCTGCTTTTTGTTTTTTTGTTTGTGTTCTTGGTATATTTTTCTCTGTCTCTTTACTTTGAGCCTATGATTGTCATTGCAAGTGAGGTGGATCTCTTGCAGACAGCATACCACTGGGTCTTGCTTCTTTATTCAACTTGCCACTCTGTGCTTTTTAATTGGGGGCATTTAGCCCATTTACATTCAAGGTTAATATTGATATGCATGGATTGGATCCTGTCATGATGTCAGCTGGTTATTAAGTAGACTTGACTTTTAGTTGCTTTATGGTGTCAATGGTCTATGTACTTAAGGGTGTTTTTGTGGTGGCTAGTAACAGTATTTCATTTCCATATTTAGCACTCCCTTAAGGACTACTTATAAGGCAGATCACTTGCCTGTCTGAAAAGGATCTTATGTCTCCCTCACTTATGAAGCTTAGTTTGGCTGGTTATAAAATGCTTGGTTGGGGTTTCTTTTCTTTAAGAATGCATGTCCACTGTTAACCTGATGGGGTTTCCTTCATAGGTGCCCACTCCTTCTGTCTAGCTGCCTTTAATGTTATCTTTTTTCATGTTGACTTTGGAGAATCTGATACTTATGTGTCTTAAGGATGGTCATCTTGTATAGTGTAGTATTTCACAGGGGTTCTCTGCATTTCCTGAGTTTGAATGTTGGCCTCATTAGTGGGGTTGGAAAAATTTTCATGGATAATATCCTCAAATATGTATTCCATGTTTCTTTCTTTCTCACCCTCTCTTTTAGGGATGCCAATAGTCTTAGATTTGGTCTCTTTACATAATTCTGTATTTCTCAGAGGTTATATTCATTTTTTTCTTTATTTTTTTTCCAACTGAGTTAATTCAGAGAACCATTCTTCAAACTCTGAGATTCTTTTCTCAAGTTGGTTTATTCTGCTGTTAATACTTGTGATTGTATTGTGAAATTCTTGAAGTGAATTTTTCAGCTCTATCAGATCAGTTTGGTTGTTTTTTAAAAAACATGGCAAATTTGAATTTCAGCTTCTGTGTCACTTTATCGTATTATTTGGATTCCTTGAATTGGGTTTCAACTTTCTCCTGAATCTTGGTAATCTTCATTCCTATTTGTAGTCCAAATTCTATGTTTGTCCTTTCAGACAAATTACCACAGTAAGTATAACATTATGATGAGTAAGATGTTAGCTGGGGGTTTTCACACAGACCGTACTGTCTTGAGGTACATTCCTTCCATACTTAGTTTCTGTAGTGTTTTTATCATGAAAGGATGTTGAATTTTATCAAGTGCCTTTTCTGCAATGATTGAAATGATCATATAATTTTTATCCTTTATTATGTTAATGTGGTGTGTTTACAAAATTGATTTTTGTATGTTGAATCATCTGCATTCTAGGGATAAATCTCACTTAATCATGGTGAATGATCCTATTAAGGTGCTGATGAGTCTGGTTTGCTAGTATTTTGGTTTGAATAGATTTTTCATCTATGTTAATCAGGAATATTCATCTGTAATTTTCTTTTCTTGTAGTGTCCTTGTTTGGTTTTAGTATCCAGGTAATGCTGGCCTTCTAAAATGAATTTAAAAGCATCTTTTATTCTTCAATATTTTGAAAGAATTTGAGAAAGATTCATATTAGTTCTTTAAATGTTTGGTAGATTTCAACAGTGAAGCCAACAGTTTCTGAGCTGTCCTTTGATGGGAGAATTTTTATTATTTATTCAATATCTCTACTTGTTATTGATCTGTTCAGATTTTCTACTTCTTCATGATTCAATCTTGGTAGACTATATGAGTCTAGGAATTTATTCTTTCTTTTAGGTTATCCAATTTCTTGGCATGTAATTGTTTACAGTAGTCACTGATGATCCTTTGCATTTCTTTGATATTAGTTCTGGCATCTCTTATCTCTAAACTTTAGTCTTCTTTATTTTTGTCTTAATTAGTCTAGATGAAGGTTTGTCAATTTTCTTAATCTTTTCAAGAAACCAACTATTACTTTTGTTGATCATTTTTAGTCTCTAAATTATTTATCACTGCTCTGATCTTTAAAATTTCCTTGCTTTTACTAATTTTGGGCTTATAGTATTCTTCTTTTTTCTAATTTCTTGAGGTGTAAAATTATATTGTTTACTTAAATTATTTCTTCTTTTTTGGATGAAATAAAATATTTGTTGCTATGAACTTCCCCCTTAGAACTGCATTTGTTATATCCCATAAGCTTTGGTAAATTGTTTTTCCATTTTTATTTGCCTCAAGATATTTTATAATTTATCTTTTAATTTATTCTTTGACTAATTAGTTGTTGAGGAGCGTGCTGTTTAATTTCCATGTATGTGTGAACTTTCTGAAGTTCTGCCCATAATTGATTTCTAGTTTCATACCATTGTGGTTGGAAAGATACCTGCTATAATTTCAACCTTCTTACACTTATTAATACTTTTTTGTAACCTAAGATATGATCTACCCCTGGAGAATGTTCTGTATGTGCTTGAGATTAATGTGTATTCTGCTACTGTTGGATGAAATGTTGTTTATATTTGTTAGCTCCATTTGGTTGAAAATGTAGTTCAAGTCCAATGTTTTGCTTTACTGATTTTTTGTCTGAATGATTTGTTTATTGTTGAAAGAGGGGTAATGAAGCCTTCTACTATTATTATATTATAGGCTATCTCTTTCTTCGTATCTATTAATATTTGCTTAATATATTTAGGTACTCCAATGTAGGGTGTTCGTATATGTATATTTACAATTGTAAATATGTATATTTACAATTACAATTACTCTTGATGGACCTACCTCTTTGTCATTATATAATGACCTTTTTGTCTCTTTTTATAGTTTTTTAACTTGAAATTTATTTTATATGATATATATACACACATATACACACACATATATATAGCTATTCCTGCTTTCTTTTCATTTCCATTTCCATAGAAAATCTTTTTCCAACTCTTTGCTTTCAATCTATGTGTGTCCTTAAAGGCAAAGTGAATCTCTTGAGTCTCTTGTCAGCAGAGTTTAACTGTATCTCTTAAAAAATCCTTCCAGCTACTCTATGTCTTTTGACTGAAGAATTTAGTCCATTTACATTTAAGGTAATTAATAGGTAAGAACTTTTACTGACACTTTAATAATTTTTTTGGTTGTTTTGTAAATCCTTTCTTTCTTCTCTCTTGCTATTTTCCTTTGGGATTAGATGATTTTCTATACTAGTATGCTTTAATTTCTGATTTTCTATCTTTTGTCTATATTCCACAGTTATCTTTCTTGTGGTTATTATGAGGCTTACATACAACATCATATAACAGTCTGTTTTAAACTGATAATAACTTCCATCACATAGAGCTCTAGATTTTTATTTTTGTCCACCCTCCATATTTGATGTCACAATTCATATATTGTGTATCCATTAACATATTAATATTCTTTAATTATAGTTATTCTTAATACTTTTGTGTTTTAACTTTTATACTAGAATTAAAATTGATTAACACGCTGCCACTACAGTATTACAGTATTCTGTATTTATCTATGGACTTACCTTTATTTTATACTTTCATATGGTTTCATGTTGCTTTTAGTATATTTTCTTTTTCTTTTCTTTTCTTTTTTTTTTCCTTTGAGATGGAGTCTCCCTCTGTCACACCCAGGCTGGAGTGCAGTGGCATGATCTCAGCTCCCTGCAACCTCCACCTCCCAGGTTCAAGCGATTCTCCTGCCTCAGCCTCCCGAGTAGCTGGGATTACAGGCACCTGCCACCACGCCCAGCTAATTTTTTGTATTTTTAATAGAGACAGGGTTTCACCATGTTGGCCAGGCTGGGCTTGAATTCCCGACCTCAGATGATCCACACTCCTTGGCCTCCCAAAGTGCTGGGATTACAGGGGTAAGCCACCACGCCCCACCATGTCTTTTCATTTTAGTTTGAAGTACCTCCTTTAGCATTTCTTATTAGACTGGTCTTGTGATGATGAACTCTCTCCCCTTTGGCATTCTGGAAAGGTCTTTAGCTGTTCTTCATTTCTGAAAGACAGTTTTTCTAGGTATCGTATTCTTAATTGGTAGTTTCTATTTCTTTTAGCACTTTGGAGATTTTATCCCCTTCCTCTGACCTGCAACATTTCTTCTGAAAAATCCATTGGTAGTCTAATGGAGGCTCACTTGTACTTCACTAATTACTTTTGTCTTGCTGCTTTCAAAATTCTCTCTTTGTCCTTGGCTTTTGACAATTTGATTATAATGTGTCTTTGGGTAATCCTGTTTGAGGTCCTTTGGGCTTCATAAATGTGGATATTCATTTTTTCCCCCAGATTTGGGAATTTGGGGCCATGATATATTTAAATAAATCTTTTGCTCTTTTCTCTATCTGTTGAGTCCTTGAAACTCCCATAACATGTATATCGTTTCAATTGATTTTGCATCCTAATTCCCTTAGGCTTCCTTCACTTTTTTATTCCTTGTTTTTTTCTCTGACTGTATAATTTCAAGTGAGTCGTCTATAAGTTTAATGATTCTTTCCTCTGCTTGATGAAGTCTTCTGTTTAATCCCTCTAATAAATTTTTCAGTTCAGTTATTTTTTTCTTCAGGTTTAGAATTTCTATGTGTTTCCTTTTTATCATTACTTTTTGTTATATTCTTATTTTGTTCCTGTATCATTTCCCTGATTTTCTTTTATCATCTGTGTTCTAATTCACTTAGCTCCTCTAAGATCATTATCTTTTTTGACAAGAAAGTTATAGATCTCCATTACATTAGGGTCAGTATTGTGTAAACAGGGCTAAGCACCCTTGTTGGGGTCCTTCAAGGATCACTTCTACACAGATCAAAAGCACTGAGAGAAACATAAAAACTTAAAATTTTATTATACTCACAGGTCTTAAAGAAGAGGCACAGTATTACCAGAGGGTCACATAATTCACCAAAAGCTGTGGGTTGAGCTTGGTTGTCAGGAAAACAGACAGAGGAGATGACTCATGGGTGAGCATTTTTATTGGGGGTAGTCATAGGTGGTGCAGCCATAGCATGAAGGCAGTATTTTTGTTGGTTAATTTAAATGTAACTAGGTCAAAACAGGGAAAGGAAGACATCAAATGGAAAGGTCATCATATGACTTATTGCCTGGCCACATATGTTGAGAGATGAGTGCTTGGTAGTGGACAATGACTAGGTAAAAGTTTAAAACAAGCAGAGAGAATGCAACTACTTTAGAGCCACTGAGGCAACAAAGAATAACCTTATATTACATTTCATTACTGGACATGTATTTCATTCCTTTGATTGTGTCATGGTTTCCTGATTCTTTGTGTTTCTTGTAGCTTTGCCTTGGTGTCTGTGTTTGAATAAAAAGTCCCCTTTCCCAGTCTTTACAAACTGGCTTTGGCAGCATGCTGAAAGACTAGAAGATTGAATATATGCCCCACTTTCTTCTCCCTCCGAGAGAAAATTTTAGACTGAGGCAATCTCTCAGTTGGTGCCGAGCTGTGACAACTTGAAAAAAGAGCTGATATGGTAAAGTGAAATTGCTCTTTTTACATGTTTCAATGTGACTGTTCTTAGTTTTGTACTTGTCTGGGGGTACTGCAACTATTTAACTAGATTCTGCACTTCCCGTAAAGTTATTTTGATCCACACATCATGGCAAATTGGTGTTTCTGTGGAAGACAAAGTTGGGCATTTCTACTCTGCCATCTTGCTGGCATCTCTACATCCTGACTTAAATTCTTTTTTGTATTTTCTATCTCTTTGCTCTCTGAACTGTATTTTGAACTATATTTCTCAATTTAACTTTGTCTAGTTTAATATTTATCCCCTCAATCAAAAATTGTATAAAACTGTTGTGAATGTATATTTTTTATGTTATCTTATTGGTTTTCTTTTCATATTTCACATTGCTATTTTTGTTTCATTTGTTTCCAACTCTTAAATGAGATTAGACTCCATCTAAAGTGCACAATCTTAACCATCTTTCCAAAATTCTGTGTCACATTAATTAACTTTTCTATGTATTACTTTCCTCATCTGTACAATTGAAAAAATAATATTTTTCTCCCTTTATAATAGATGAATAAAATAAAATAGATTATATAGAATACTTAGTGTAATGTTTGCTTCAGACTAAGTACTCATTCTCCTCCTAGATAGATTTGCACATATGCAAAGCTTTAGAACTTGTGATCACTTTATAATAAATATGTTCTACCATGTGCTCAGAATTAAAATATAAAGTTTTCCCAGCTCTAACACAGAAGGCATAGCTTGAATCTCTTTGACCTAATACATTTAAGGAGAACTGAATTCTGACTTTATAACAGTTTCTGTGTTAATCACTGTTATTAAAAAGTGAATAACGTGATTACTTATTATGGGGGCAGAGCCAATAAGCTCTGTAAATAAGCACCCAAACAGTAATAAGTGATATAATTAATATCTCTATAATATGTTATGAAATCACCATGAAAATGTTCAGAATGTGCCAGAGCACCCTACATGAATTTTCTTCTTCTGTGAGTTGCCACACTGTGATAAAACATATAAAATGTTCATCTAATTAAAGTTATTTTTGAAAAATAACTAATTTCTGTATTCCACTAAAATACCAAGAAGCCAATGCACTGCCCACTCTCTTATATATACTTCTAGGTATAAAGCAGCAAGAAATGACTGTTTTTCATCTAGAAATTCAGATATGCAGGCATGTGGATAAAATTGTACTGCAAAACACAAGATCAATTATAATCCTAGGTCTGTTCATAAAGAGCTGGGTATAGATTTGCCATGGCCATATCTTCTTAATTCACAAAATGAGATACCTTCTACCCCTCCTCATAAGCTGTGCTCCTACTCTCATGTGGCAATGAAAATGACAGTAGTTTGATAGCATAAAAGATATTAATATTTTTAAATCAGGCAATCTGAGCCATTACTTTTCATGGTATACTTAATCTCTTATTGGTTACTGTTCCACAATTTCTATTATGGTAATATTTTATAATTACTCTCCCTTTATTAATTTTTAGAAACTTTTTGATACATTGTTTTCTTGGTTTCATTTAGTTCTTTGTTCAAGACTTCCTTTAGCTCTATGAACATATTTAAGATATTTGTCTTAAAAATGCCAAAAGTACAGAACACCAGTTAAAAATAAAACATCTAAATGAGCATAAAGATATGTTATATTCATGGATCGGCAGACTTCAAGATGACTATTTTCCAGACTTTATATGATCTCAACTGAAACTCAAGTGAGCTTTTTTTTGGGTAAATACTGACAAACTGGTTATAACTTTTTGCATAACAGCAAACCTAGCAGAATAGACAAAATAATTATAAAAGAACAAAGCTGAAGCATGTACATGACCTGGTTTCATGTCTTACCTTTATAATAGAAGTCAATACAATATGGTATTGAGCAAAAGGTATGCACATAAATCAATGGAATTGATTACGGGATACAGAAATTGATCCACAGGTAGATAATAAATTGAATTTTGTGAAAGATGGAAAGACAGACCAATGGAGAAAATATGCTATGTTTTGAGCATTTGTTCCTCCAGAACCCAGGTTGAAATTTAATTGCCATTGTGATGGTATTGGAAGGTGGGATCTTTCAGATATATTTAAGTCATGAAGGCTGTACCCTATCAATAGACTAATGTCATTATCACTGGAATGGGTTCATTATTGCAGGGGTGAGCTTTCCCCCTCTTGTTCTCTCTTACCTTCTCTTTGCTTTCTCATCATGAAATGATGCAGAAAGAAGCCCCTTACCAAATGTCAGCCCCTTGGATCTTGGAGTTCCTAGCCTCTAGAACAGTGAACCAATAAATTTCTGTTCATTATAATTAATTATCCAGTCTGTGCTATTTGGTTATAGCAGCCAGCACAAATGAACAAAGACAAAATATATTCTCTCAACAAACTGTGCCACAACAATTGTTTGTCCATATGCCAAAAAGGAACTAAATGTAAAGTGTAAACTAAAACTCTATGTTCCCATAAACCTCTTTCAAAATGTTTGTAAAAATCTTTATTGAGAATAATAATTGCTTAACCTTTAAGCAGATGATGATGAAGTAATTAAATTGTATTACAAATGTATGACATAATTTCATTGAAGGTAGACGAGAAAAAAAAAACGTTGATCTAAGTAACATTGGAAAACAGTGTGTTGACCAAAAACTTTGTCTAAAAGTAAAAGGAATTATACATAAATATGGTTCTGTTGTTGCTAAAGTTGCTTCTCATTATGATGAACAACTATGGAACTGCCTTACTTGTGTATTGGAGTCAAAAAATAAGTCTATAAATAGGGGTTGTGGAGAGCTAAGTTTCTAACTGTCAGAAAGGGAAGTCATAGATAAGAAAGGGGGGAAGATTAAATGAACTGGATTGGAGTCAGAAATATTGATAGGAAGCCATGTTTAGCTTAATAGCAATGGGATATAGATATAAACACACATATACTTTCTAGATATAAAAATAAGTGTAGTTGTGTGCATATATTAATATGTATGTATTCTATATATACTAGCTCTATCTCTAAGAGGACCTAGAAGAAGTTAAACTCCAAGAGCTGCAGACACACCCTGCAGTGTGTTGTTGATTAAGCCAATAAACAAATGAATGGAAGAGATAAATTTTGCTACAAAAGAACTAGATGTAGCTTAGTTTCACAACACCTAGAGTGTGAGCTGGACTTAGTGACTTCTTTCTAAAGAACAGAATATAGAAAAGTTTAAAAAACTAATCTACAATGGAGAAACTTAGTAAATTTTTTCTAGCACGTATGATCATGTTAACATTAGTGATTAAGTCAAGTTGATAGAATATACTCTTGATGTGATGTCATGAGAATAAAATTTTATCTCAGAGGTATTTCTCCCCAAAACCCATTGCCCCAGGCAAATCATTAAAAAAATCTTCAGAAAATTTCAAATGGTAAGCATTTTGTGAAATTCCTGGCTAGAAATCCTTAAAATTGTCATGATCATCAAAAACAGAGAAAGAATGAGAACTTGTCACAGAGAATTAGAGATTAAAGAGACATGAAAAGTAAATGTAAGAAGAGGAAAAGCATATTAGTGGAAAACTAATGAAATCTGAATAAAGCCTGAAATTTAAAATATAACATTGTAGAAATGTGGTTTCTTAGTTTTGACATATACCGTAATATGAGATTATAACGTAGGGGAAAACAGAGGAGGGTTTATATTCAATTCTCATGACTGCTGTGACAAATTATCACAAATTTAGAAACTTAAAATAACACATATTTATTTCACAGCTCTGAACTTCAAAAGTTCAAAAGCAGTTTCACTAGACCAAATTAATTGTTGGCAGCGATATGTTCCCACAGGAGGGTCTAAGGGACAATCCATTTATTGCCTCTTCCATAAGACAGAAATAAATATCTGTGTCGTACTACACTGCCCCACAAACACCAGCATCTTAGCACATACAAGTGCAATCTTACAAACACTGAGATGTTCAAGCATCTAATTTTACAGAGACAAAAAAGAAGATACAGATGCACACTCCTGGGAGTAGTTTTTATATAGTATAGAGCTCCCCGAGGATCAAAAGGAAAAGCATAAAAAACCATGCATTATATTAGCATATTGAATTTGTTATCTTTTTCACTGATAGAAGTTTTCATGTTTATATTCTATCTGCACATTTAAAAACATTTCAGTTAATTGTGTGATTTGCATGTATGAAGTAATTTTGCAAATATAATCATACATTATACTTTTATATAATCAGATTGAATTTCTTCTTGTGATTTACTAAATAGCATTTATTTGATGTGTGACTTGCCACTTAATGACATATTATGTCAAAACTAAAAATTATGAGATGATTCATTTAATGATGAGATTCCCAGGAAATCATTGGGTCCAAAAGTGGGGCATGCAAGCACTGAGAATGTAGATTTAAAAATTTCAGCAAAGCAGAAAATAAGCTGTACTTGTTGAAATATGCTACATGCCTCTGAAGAAAGTTTACATTATGGCTCAAATATTCAATATATTGATAAAATTGGGCTCAGCTTAATTATTTTAATCATTCACTTAACAAATAATTAGAGAGAATCTACAATGAAACAGGTATCTATTTAGGTGCTGAGCAGGATCATGCAAACAAAACAAAAGTCACTGCTCTTAAGAAGTTTAAGTTCTAACTGGGGATGATAAATGAAAAGTGATCAAATAAACATACAGTAGGGAGTGTTAAGGACTATGAAGAATAATGCAGGGTGACAGGATAGTACACATGGTGAGGGGAGAGGGACTTATATAAAGGGAAGGCTTCCATGATTTGTTAACATTTATTTGAGCAAAGACCTGAGTGGAGGAAGAAAAATTTCCATACAGAGGGAACAGCAAGTCCACATGTCCTGAGGCAGGAGCATGTTTGGAGATGTGAAGAAATATCAAGGAGAGTAATGTGAACGGATAGAGACAAAACACTAGAGAAGTGACAAGAGATGATGTATCTCAACTAAATTAAATTTTAATAAGTAACATTTCAAAGCCCTTGCAGAGAGAAAATATGTAGAAAATTATTATCTCAGGCCATAAATAGAGTGAATGTTGGTAGTCATGTATGGATAAATTGAAAATGCCTATATTTTCCCTTAATTTTTATTATTCTCTGGCTATTTTATCCTTTTGAAAAGTGTAACGTATCATCTATGATTTCTTTGAGCAGTGCTTTGTAGTTCTCCCTGTAGAGATCTTTCACTTCCTTGGTTAGATATATTACTAGGTATCTTTTGTTTTTGTTATTGTAAATGGGATGTATTCTTGATTTGGCTCTCAGCTTAAACATTATTAGTGTATAGAAATACTACTGATTTTCATAGATTGATTTTTGTATCCAGAAACTTTACTGAAGTCATTAATCAGTTGCAGGACCTTTTGGTAGAATCTTTAGGGTTTTATAGCTATAGAATCGTGTCAACTTGGAAAAAAGACAGTTTACTGAGTTCTTGTTCTATTTGGATGTCTTTTATTTCTTTCTCTTGCCTGATTGCTCTGGCTGGAACTTCCAGTACTATTTTGAGTAAGAGTGGTGACAGTGGGCATCCTTTTCTTGTTCTAGTTATCAAGGGGAATGCTTTGTGTTTTTGCTTGTTCAGTATAATGTTGACTCTGGGTATGTCATAGATGGCTTTTATTATTTTCAGGTATATTCATTCAATGCCTAGTTTGTTCAGGATTTTTATCACGAAGGGATGTTGGATTTTATAAAAATCTTTTTTGCTATCAAATTAATCATATGGTTTCTGTTTTTAATTCTGCTTTTGTGGTGAATCACATTTATTGATTTGCATATATTTAAACAACCTTGCATTCCTGGAATAAAGCCTACTTGATTATGGTGAATTGATTTTTTGATGAACTGGTGGATTCAGTTTGATAGTATTTTGTTGAGGATTTTTGTGTCCATGTTCATCAGGGAAACAAGTGGAAAAAAAAATCCATGCTCCTGGATTAGAAGAGTCAATATTGTCAAAATGGCCATATTGCCCAAAGCAATCTGCAGATTCAATGCTATTCCTATCAAATTACCAACATCATTTTTCACAGAACTAGAAAAAACAATTCTTAAATTCATTGGAGCCAAAAAAGAGCTTGAATAGTGAAAGCAATCCAAAACAAAAACAACAAAGCCAGAGGCATCATATTTCCCAACTTTAAACTATACTATAAGGCTACAATAACCAAAACAGCATGGTACAGAAACAGACACATAGACCAATGGAACACAATAGGAAATCCAGAAAGAAAGCTACTCACCTACAGCTATCTTATCTTCAACAAAATCAACAAAAATAAGCAATGAAGAAAGGACTCTGTATTCAATAAATGGTGCTGGGATACCTGGCTAGCCATATGCAGAAGAATGAAACTGGAAGAATGAAATTGGACCCCTAATTTTACTGTATGCAAAATTTAACTAAAAATGGATTAAAGACTTCAATATAAGACCTCAAACTATGAGAATCTGGAAGAAAACATCATTCTGGGCATTGGCCTTGGAAAAGAATTTATGAATAAGGCCTCGAAAACAATTGCAACAAAACCAAAATTTGGCAAGTGAGACCTAATTAAACCAAAGAACCTTTGTACAACAAAAGAGACTATCAAACTAAAGAGATTTAACAGAGCAAAAGAAACTATCAATAGAGTAAACAGACAATCTACAGAATGGAGGGAAATATTTGCTAATTATGCATCTGACAGAGGTTGAATATCCAGAATGTATAAGCAACTTAAACAATTAAACAAGTAAAACATAAATAATCCCATTTAAAAATGAGGAAAAGACACTTTTCAAAAGAAGACATACAAACTACCAACAAACATGAAAAAATGCTTAACATCACTAATCATCAGAGAAATGCAGATCAAAACCACAATGAGATACTTTCTCACATAAGGCAGAATGGCTATTAATAAGAAATCAAAAAAGAACAGATGTTGGTGAGGTTGTGGAGCAAAGGGGACACTTATACATTGTTGGTGAGAATGTAAATTAGTGCAGCCACCATGGAAAGCAGTTTGGAAATCTTTCAAACAACTTAAAACAGAGCTATCATTCAACCCAGCAGTCCCATTACTGGCTATATATCCAAAAGAAAGCAAATTGTTCTACCAATAAGACACATATACTCATATGTTCATTGCAGCACTATTCACAATAACAAAGAGATGGAATCAACCAAGGTGCCCATCAATGGTGACTGGATAAAGAAAATGTGGTACATAAACACCATGAAATACTACACAGCCATAACAAATAGTGAAATCATATCCTTTGCAGCAACATGGATTCAGCTGGAGGCCACTATCTTAAGCACATTAATGCAGTAATATACAACCAAATATCACACATTCTCACTTACAAGTGGGAGCTGAGCAATGGGTACTCATGGACATAAAGATGGCAACAATAGACACTGAAGACTACTAGAGGAAGGGACACAAGGGCTGACAAACTAACTATTGGGTACTATGCTCAGTATCTGAGTGACAGGACGTTCTGTACTCCAAACTTCAACATCACAAATTATACCCATTTAACAAACTTGCACATGTACTCCCTGAATCTTAAATAAAAGTTAAAAAAAAAGAAAAAAGAAAGCTTTTTGTCTTTTATATAAAGAAAATGTAATATAAAAATGTATGTTCTACAAAATGATTTAAAGACAGAAATATTAATCATTTAAAATGCTTTAGCTATGTATCTCTCAATAAAATATGCTTACAATATGAGCCAATACTTTCATTTAAAGCCATAGCACTTTTTTCTCAAACAATAATGCTTAGAATATTCAACTTAAGAAAAAAGTAACAGTAGTCAAAAATTTATATTTGAATTCCCCAATTAACTAAATTATTTTTATTGAAACCCTAGCCACATTCCCTTTACCTCTGGCTAATTTTTCACTCCTATGTGTATGTGCTCATAGCAGTCACATGTATGCGTTTCTGTTCATGGGTTTGTTTGTCACCAGTTTTTACATGTATGTTACTTGTGCCATATGATAGAGAAAATGCATATAAAGAGTGAATAAATTAAGTCTTCCTAATGCATTTTTTGAACTACATCACTTTATGATTTCCTTACGCCATTTTTATTCAGGTATTACATTTCTAATCATTACATTTCCCTTTTCTAGACAACAGACTTTTGAAGAGGTAAGGATATAATTTCTAGAAATTAACTGGATTGTGGGCCTTAAAATGTCGTGAAGTGACTGGAGAATTTCAGAAAGGAATGAAACTAGGTATTATGCATGCTGAAATGTTAAACTCACAATCCTAGGGACAATTTTACCTTCTCAACAATTTTCTTGAATGTACTCTTCACCTTGTTCTTCAATCTTTAGACCACATGGTTCACCATGGGGAAGACAATAGTATAAAACACAGCTGCAATTTTGTCTGTGTCAATGGAATGACTGGAGCTGGGCTGTATATGCATGAAGATAATAGTCCCATAGAAGATGGCAACTGCAGTGAGGTGAGAGGCACAAATGGCCAAAGCCTTCTGGTATCCTGCAGTTGAGTGCATCTTTAGGATGGTGATAAACATCAATAAGTAGGATATCAAGATAACTAGAAGGGCAAAGAGGATATTGAGCTGGTTACATAAACAAGAACCACTACATTCACATGTCTATCAGAGCAAGACAGAGCCATGACTGCTGGAACCTCACAGAAAAAGTGATGGACTTCACTGGACATACAGAAAGAGACTGAATGTTTCCCCAGTGTGAATGGAGGCATTCAGGAAACCACCAACGTATCAACCTATGGCCAGACATGTACACACACTTGTCATCATGGTGGTGGTGTAATGCAGGGGTTTGCACACTGCTGCATAGTGGCCAGAGGCCATTAAGGCCAATAATAAATTTACCACACTGGCAAAGGAATCAGAAAAGAATGTCTGAGTAGCCCACACAGTATAGGAAATGATTTTGTCTTCTCTAAGGAGCCCAGTCATGACCTTTGGAGTGACAACTGAAGAGTAAAAAAAGTCTACCAGAGACAGATTACTGAAGAAGAAGTACATTGGATTGTGGAGCTGAGAGTACCAGAGAATCAAAATGATCATCCCCAAGTTTCCAACTACATTGATGAGATAGATGAGAACAAACATGATAAAGAAGGGGACCTGCAGTTCTGGGACATTGCTTAGTCCTAGGAAGATGAACTGTGACGCCTCTCTACTGTTCTACATCAGTGTTATTTGGAATCAGGAGACACCCTATATGAATGAGAAATAAAGGAACAGAACATTAAAGGCAGTAGAGATTGCAGTGAAAATAAAATGTTTATGTACATTATGTACTATTTCATTATAGCAATAATATGTGTTTCATGATTTTCCATAATGAAAGCATGAACTTAACAACAAGATTTAGTGGATTAATTATCAATAGAGCCCTAGACTGTTGACTGAAGGATCCATAGAGGTCATCTCTCCAGTGTTTAATTTTTATATATTTACAAACTGAGATCTGGAAAAATTTGTGAATTATCCAATATGATAATTCTGGAATTAACAAATCAGCCAGTTCAACTTTTCCTAGTCTAATAAATTCATAGACTTCTACGTTGCCAATGTGCCCAGAGCTAGATATTTTTACATCTATATTCCTTGATTCCTCTCAATAAATTTATAAAATTGAGTAGTTGTTACTTTCATTTAGATTGTGAGGCACCAGAGGTTAAGTGTTTTATTCATGTTTACAGAATTATTCATTGGCAGGCAAAGCTTTGACTCCAGACAGAATTGTTACCAAATTTGATTGACTAAATTGCATTTAAATAAAACTGAATTTAACTCAATTTACAATTATTCATTTTCTCTATTATTTCAAACTCAGTGTTTGTGATTTCACAGTGAATTAACTTAAAGATACATGCATAGTAGATGTGGTGAGATAACTGGGGCAGTAGAAGAATGTGTAAACCGCAGAGGTGATGCTGAGGGACTGGAGGGCATAGCACTATGTATGGAGCTTGGGCTCTGGGAAGAGGTGCACGTCATTTCTACATGTACAACCTAAGAATCACTGGTCCTAACCTAACTACCTGAACAAGAATTTCTTCATCTACATAAAGAAGGTGGTAATGAGGCCTACCCCAAGGTATTATTTGGAGAATGAAATGAGAGAGTGCATTAAAAAAAGTCAATGAGTAAAATGCTGATTGTTTAGCACAGCCTGATGAGTGCTAGTTGTGCTTCTATTATTGGAATGAAATGATAGCCTTTATGTGGTTTGAGAAGATAGGTGGCAACATGCAGAGCTTCAAGTATGGATAATGCTTGAAGTCTTAAGTATCCCACTTTATTTTGCTTTTTTTCCCCACACACCAGGTTCATGAGATTTTATGTGCCCCCACCCCAGTGATTTACACTTAGTTCATGCTCTGCCCATATGATTGGCTGCTCTGTTCATTCCGTGTGAGCCATTCTTTTGTTTAATATTTTTTTCTTGGAATCCACAATTTTCTTGAGTTGAAAATTTCTTTTTCTCATTACTGGCATCCTTATAATTGAATCACATATATTGATGGCTGAAAGTTCATAGTTTGTGGATTACCTTTAGCCTGCAGTTGTGTTTTGGTGGAAAGTTTATGTTTAAAATGTTTTTATTTGAATCTGTCCTAGTGTATGAACAGTATTTTAAGTCTTTTTTATTTTAATTTAAAGCTTTTGGAAGCATTTCCATCATTTGCTAAATTCTATTCCCTATTATTGTCCTCCTATTCCTTTACAACTTCAATGTACAACCCTAGCCCAGGAGGGTTTTATGTTTGTCCATCTTAACGCACATCCCACTTTTAGCATATACTATGTTCCAAAATATAGGATAAGAGCTTTATACATAGCCGTGTGTGTGATTGTGTTTGTGTTTGCAAGCCTGTTCTTAGTTATCAACGAGGCAATTGATAATTCTTGAAGTTATGTGATATTGTACAATTCTACAGCTAGTATAAGGAAGATTTTAAGATTCAAGATTTAAACCCAGTTTTATCATAATCAAAAGCCTGTTCTTTTAGCCACATCACTCTCAACATGTTTAGATATGCTAATAATAATAAGGATGAGATTATGGGATTATAGGAAAAATGTTAAAATTCAGATATTCAAATGTTAAAATGTTCAGATATTGCTAATTCACTTAGGTTCTTTTGTAGTTCAAAGTAGGATCATTTCATTCTGTATTATTTATTTAATCTCCAATGAGAAGCCAATGGATAGTGAACAAATTGAAATTACTATCTATTCAATCAGAACATCACCTATATGATTTTTTGTTAATATTTTTAGAAAGCAACCTTAGGATGTTTTATAAGTATCACCAAACTCTCTATTGATGGAATTTTAATATTTATACCCTAGCTTCACCTCAGTGTTTTAGAAAAATGTTCAAAATCTATATTTCTGTGCTCAAATAACTCATAGTATGTTATATTTGCCCCATTATTTTTTCAGGAATTAAATTTTTTACTAATAGTATACATTGAATATAGAAGCTTATCTTGTTCCTTGAAAACAAGGAACAGCCACTCCTGAATAGCGTGTTTGAAATCAGAAATTCTTCCATGAAATAACGTAAATATTGTTTGAGAAAGTCTCTTGCAGGTAGGTTCTTCAAGAGGTTCTAAGGACTCTTAGACTAAGAACCTCCTCTTCAAGAGGTTTTAAGGACTCTAAGGCAGGGAAAGATGGAGGAAAGACACTAATACACATCCAGGTCATGATTCTATCCTTCCTTCTTTCTATGTCCTTAAGGAGTTATTTATATCCTCCTTATTTGTAAAATAAAGATTATAAAATTACATCTTCCATATAATACAAATAATTATGTTTGTAAATAGCAAATAAAAGGTCTCCAAAACAACTTGCTAAGTGGTTATTATTTTTGTTGCTTAATATAATTTTAATTTTGGTGTGTGTGTGTGCATTTTTTGTTCCTAACTATAGTAGTAACCTCATAATAAATCTTCACGGCAGAAGAAGACCTGTTTGTACTAACACATATTAAGATTCAGACGAATAAATGATGACGAAGGACCATCACACAGCCTGGTATCTCTAAAATAAAGTTACCTGGAGTCATGTTGACTTTCAGAGGCTAATGCTAATGAACCAGCAGGGAATTATGGAGACATGGAACTCTCTGGTGATGTCCCTCATGAGGGCATCTATAGCTCCTCATCCACTCTCCCAGGGAAGAAGCAATTTAACTACCTGTGGGAATTAAGCAGGATATTTTGACTGTTCACACATATGTTTGTATTAGTTTCTTTTTCATTTTTAATCAATGTATATTTTACAAACATTAACATGTGTATATTTAAAGTACAGTTCTAAAAATTTGCTCATAACATGAATGGTTATGTATTCATGTAACCATTAACATGATCATGCATAATAAATAACCTCAAGCTTCTTGGTTGTCAAACCATTCTCCCACCCACCGCACATGGCAAACACAATCTTTTTGTGTACATAATTTTATTTTTGCAAGAATATACTTAACTAGAATCCTAGAATATGTAATCTTTGGTTCTGGCACCTTTCATTTAGCATAGCAAACATATTGGAGGTCTATCCATACTGTTACCTGTAACAGTAGTAGTATATTTTTGTTAATTGACAAATTATAGATGCAAATTATAGAAGTAAATAACTTCTTCACATGTCAGCAGGAAAGAGAGAGCGAAGGGGTAAGAGCCCCTTATAAAATCATCAGACCTCATGGGAACTCACTCACTATCATGAGAACATCATGGGGGAAACCACCTCCTGATCCAATCACTTCCCACAAGGTTTCTCCCTTGACACACAGGGATTATGGGGATTACAATTCGAGATGAGATTTGGGTGGGGACACAAAGCCAAACCATATCAAGTATATACATTTTTTTCTTCAATTTAAGTTCCTAGAACAGTAATTTGACTAAAGAAATAAATAACATTAGATAAATTTTTCTAATATTCTAATACCTCAATTAATTATTTTAAATACTTTTTATTAAAAACTAGTCAGATCCCATTCAACTCTGACAAATTTCTCACATACATTTGCTTCTGTTCATGAGCTTGTTTGTGCCCCTGTTAGGCACATATGTTTGCATTGATGGGTGATAGAAAAAATGCAGTGGGACAAGGAAACAAATCAACTGCCATTAGAAAGGTTTTGACAAAAAGGACCCAAATGTTCTTATGCTTTTCCAGCAGTATTTTCGTTCATGTAATACATTCTGGACGTATTTTCTTTTTACTAGGCAGGTAAAAAGAAAGGTAAGGCTATTACCTTCTGAAGAAGTAAGGCTATCACAACTGGAATTTAAATGCATTGTGAAAATGCAATGTGATTAATTTCATGGGGAAGTTCTGAAAAGAATGAAACTGGGTTATTGTGTACCCTACCACATTAAATCACAGTTCTAAGAAAAATTTTGCCTTCTCAACCGCCTTTTTGAATGCATTCTTGACTTCTTTGCTCCTCAGGCTGTAGAACACAAGGTTCAGCATGGAGATGAACACAGCATAGAACAAGGATGCCATTTCATCTGTGTCCATGGAATGGCTGGAGCTAGGCTGTAAGTGCATAAAGATAGTAGTTCCATAGAAGATGGAGACTGCAATGAGGTGAGAGGCACAGGTGGACAAAGCTTTTAAGTGTCCCTGAGCTGAGTGCATCTTCAAGATGGTGATGAATATGAACAGGTAGGAGGTCAAGATAACTAGAAGAGCCAAAAAGACATTGAAGCTTGACATAAAAACCAGAATCTTCTTGCTAATGTGTTTACCAGAGCAAGACACAGCCATGACTGGTGGAACATCACAGAAAAGGTGATGGACAAGATTGGACTTACAGAAAGAGAGACTGAATATGTCCCCAATGCGGAGGGAGGCATTTAGAAAGCCACAGACATAGGAGCCTATGACCAGATGAGCACATACACTGGCTATCGTGGTGGTAGTGTAGTGTAGGGGTTTGCACACTGCTATATAGTGGTCATAGGCCATTGATGTCAACAGCGATATTTTCCACTGTGGCCAAGGCTACAAAAAAGAACATCTGAGCAGCACAAGCATTGTACGAGGAACTTAGCCTCCTACCCTCTAAGTAACCTAGCCCTGCTAGCCGTGACCCTGGGAGTGACAGTTAAGTATCCAAGCAGAGACAGGTTACTGAGGAAAAAGTACATGGGAATTGGAGACAAGAGTCCAGCAGGATCAACAGTATGATCTCCAGGTTCCTAGTCAGAATGAGGAGGTGGATGAGGATGAACAAGATAAAGAGGGGGATCTGAAGTTCTGTGGCATTGGTTAGACCTACCAGGATGAAATCAGTAAACTTTGAGTTATTTTACATGTGAATTAAAAAAATCTCTATTGTAATATGAAAAAAAGGAAGAGTTGGTAAATATATAAGACATTGCACTTATAATGTAAAAAGTTTGTGTTCATGAGCATGCACACACACATACACATATATTCTGTTATTTCATCATTTCATTAAGGCCATAATTTTTTCTTCATGATTTTTTATTCTAAAGCATTAATTTGAGCAAAACGAAACATTTGGCTGATAAATTATTTATGTGGTCACAGACTGTTGAAATGAAGTATCCTCTCACCACATGCACAAATTTCTACTTTTGTACATGAACAAACAGAGGTGTAGTGGTGCAGAAAAAGGCTATGATTTCTCAAAGATCACATATTTGCAACAAATGCATCTCCCAAATCACATCACCTGAGTGTGTAAATAGTTAACATTTATAGCACTCATTCCAAGCATACACACACACACACACACACCACATGCTTAGTATGTTCAATCTTGTTAATAAGCTGGTTAAAAGATTGAGTATTTTGTGCAAATTTACATGAGTATCAACTGACAGAGCAAGTTTTGAACCTGGGCAGAGTGATTCTCAAGACCTATGCTCTTAACTGAAATTAAATTGAATTTATTTGAACTCAATTCACATTTACTTATTGTGTCTATTAGCCCATGCTTAGGGTGTCTAGTGAAGTAATATATGTAAATTAGGTGTGGTGGGATAATAGCTCAACAGTAGTAGAGACATATGCAACCAACAAAAGCAATTCTAATGAGAAGGTATGGCATTGAGTGTTAGAGTTTGGGCTCTCAGAAGAGGGGTATATACATTGAAGTAACAGCCCTACTATTTACTACTGGAAGACGTTGACACTAACATAACTTCTTTGAACCTCATTTTATCTATCTGTAAGATGAAGCCGGTGGTGGGATCTAACAAAATTAATTATTATAAGAGTTAAGTGAAATAATGCATAAAAACCAGTGAGCACGATGTAGGTGTTTTGAAGCTTCAAACTTCACTCACACAATCTTTTGAGTGCTTGCTATGATAATATCATTAGGATGCAATGATGATCTTCATTTTGGTTTGGGAAAGCTGGGTGTGATATGCAGGACTTTCAGCTGTGGGTGAGTAGGAAGCCTGGGGGTCCCACTGTTGTATTTACTTTTCCTCACGCGGTAGGTTCATTCAGTCTTCTCTGTGTTTCTCACTGTCCGTCAGCCATCCCACCTAGGAGCCCAGGTACCTTCTGCCTATTTTTGCTTAACTTTCCTTCCATTTCCATATTTTGAAGTGTGTGCTTTCCCAAAACACATTTCTACTCTTTCTACTCGCATTCCTTAGATAAACTATAGATTTGAGGGGTTGAAAATTTATAGACTGGTGATTTTATTCTAGCTGGCAGATAAGTGCTCATGGTAAACTGCATGTTTTTTGTTTTTTTAAATTTGAATTTGGATTCTTCAACAGGACATCCATTCTCTGTAATTAGTCTTCTCTACCATCTTCATCCTAGCCACTGTGCAACTTCATTTGACATTCCTGGTCCCTGGAAGCATTTGTGTTTGCCAATTTCCAAATAGTATAGTATAACCTATAACTTTTTATAACACATGTTCTATTCTATGAACACTTATAAGAGAATTATAGATTTAGGCCAGGCGTGGTGGCTCACGCCTGTAATCCAAGCACTTTGGGAGGCCGAGGTGGGTGGATCACGAGGTCAGGAGATCGATACCATCCTGGCTAACATGGTGAAACCTCGTCTCTACTAAAAACACAAAAAATTAGCCGGGAGTGGTGGCAGACGACTGTAGTCCCAGCTACTTGGGAGGCTGAGGAAGGAGAATGGCATGAACCCGGCAGGCGGAGCTTACAGTGAGCCGAGATTGCGCCACTGCACTCCAGCCTGGGCAACAGAGTGAGACTCCAATTCAAAAAAAAAAAAAAAAAGAGAGAGAGAATTATAGATTTAGATATTGATATATTTCACTTAATCTTCATAACAACATTATATATCAGTACTATTATCTATATTTTACAGATTAGGAAACTATTTGAGGAATTATACTACTTCCTAAAATTACATATGTACTGTGAAGTAGATTCAAGGTTCAAATGTAGGTATGACTGATTTTGCAACCTGCACTTTGAACCGCAACATTGTCAGCTTTTCTAGACATAAAGAAAAGGGTGAGATTATGGTGTAAAGGAAACTAAAATGCATTATAAATTTAAGTAATTTTGTGAGGACTCACTGGGAGTCTAAAGAATGGTTAATTCAAACTTCTGTTTTGATTTTCTTACAGTGACAGATCGACAGCTAATAACTAGGTTGGAATGACCACTACTCAATCACAGCACCATCTATCTAATGTTTTTGCTCATTCTTTCAGGCACATGGTGTGGTGTTTCATGAATATCTGTGTACTTCCTACTAAAAGAAGTATTTTTGTCATTAAGACTCTAGTCCAACTATTTCAGGAAAATATTCATGACATCTTATTTTCAGCTGAAATAGATCATGGTAGTGCATCTTCCCTACTGTTTTACATGTAGTTCACATCTCACTAAAAATGTGTATGGAATATAGAAGCTTACCTTCCTCCTTGAGAAAAGGTGCTGGAAAACTTGGATTTTGATTAATTGACCTGAAACTGCCAGGGGAGAATGTATGAATTCTGTTAGAGACACTTTCTCTTGAATACGTCAAAGAGTGTTCTTGGAATTGTCACTTACCCTGTGTCAGCCTCAGTTTCCTCATTTGTGAAATAGACATATGATGATTATTATGATTATTATTAAGACTTATGCATGTCTCAGAGAATTATGCAGAATTGTGCATTGGCTGTGAGAAGCAAATGAGGGAAGGTCTAAAAAACAACTCAGTAAAGTGTTTTCATATTAACTGAATTCAATATAATTTGTATCCTGGGATGTTTTCCCTGTCAATGGTTGCAGACTCAGAAAAACCCTTCCTTTGCAGGAAGACAAACATGTGTACTAACAACTATTCACATTCAGATAAGCAAATAAATGATGAAGAGATCACTTCAAACAGCCTGTTCCTTTCAAAATGAGGTCAAACAATATCATATTGGCATTTTAGGAGCCAATGAATAGGGCCCAGGGGAGGGTTTTAGACACATGAGAATCTCAGGGGAACAGCTTTCCTTATGGAAGCAACAGGTCCTTATTCCACTTATTCATAGAAGACGCAATTAAACTACCCATGAATACCTATCTTGTTTTTCTGAGCCAACACATAGATGTATTTGCATTATTTGTTCTATTTTTTAAAAAAATTAAGGTATAATTTATATGCAGAAAATATAGTATACTTTTTTTGTGATTTGGGGCAAAAAAACATGATCACATAACCACTACCACAATCCAGATTGAAACAAAAAAACAGCAGTTGTATCATACTCCCAAATTCCTTTCTGATCTTTTATAGTCAAATCCTCTTGCCACTCCCAACTCCTGGCAACCACTGAGTTTTGTCCTTGTAACCTGCCTTTTTAAAGAAATGCCACATAAATGGAATCTTATAGTATCTAGCCTTTGAGTTGGACTTTCACTTAGCAAAATACATAGATTAGATACATCCATTTTGTTGCATTATCAGTACTTTTTTTTCCTTTTTCATTCTTGAGCAGCATTCCATTGTATGATGGACCTAACACAGAGAGTAATGTATCTAGTTTTCATTGATTACAATAAAATCTGTTATAAACATCTGCATACAGGTTTTTGTGTGAACATAGTTTTGCATTTCAAGTGAGTATATGACTTATACATGGGGGCAGGTGTGAGGAGAGGGGCTGGTCAGGGCTCTATGCTTTTGGCTGTGTGCATGGTGTGGGCTTCCTGGACCCCAGAAAGGTGTTGAGACCAAGTCAGGAAAGGACCAAGAAGATGGACCCCATCTCAAAGTGCCTATTGGAGTTGACTTGAAGGACAGTGAATCACATTTCAGTCATGGGGATGGCTTCCAGAACGTGTGCACCCACCTCAGATGGTGTGTTGACCAGTCCAGCCTCTCCTGTGCCCTGTAGCTATTGCTGGAGGGGCTGTGTGTGCTGGTGGTAGAGGTGCACTACCATCCTCACTTGGGGGACAGTTCAGTGCCTTTACCAAATGTCACTTCACCTGTCTTTGGTGAGGGCAGGGATGGAGTGGGGTGGGGGGATCTCAGCCAGACTCGTTTTAGAACATGGTCATCAAACTGAGAACCAGAGAGGCTGTAGATGAATTCAGGAAGGTCCCTCCTTCCTTCATGTCAATAATAGGCTGAGTAGGGATGTCCGGGAATGGCCTTCCCATTTCTTTTTTCCCAGGATGCACAACAGCTACATACCCCAGGTAGGGAGTACAGTCACTCCCTTAATGTTTAAGGTGTTCTTTCTGTGGTTCAGCTGAGAAAGACCACAGGAGACAGTTTGTCCAGTGCCCTCAGTGCACATGAAGATGCCATTCTCATACACAGCACCCCCAGGGTCGATGGTGAGCAGAGGCATGCGGTAGTAGCACATGTTCTCATTGAGATTGAAATTTCCTCCCTGCACCAAGGTGCTGGCTGAGATGATCTTTGTGCCTTCAGGGTCCCACACCACCACATCAGTATTGGCTCCAGAGATGATGAGGCCCTTGTGGGAATACAGGCTGAGAACAAAACAGTTCTCATCCATCATCCTCTAACTGGGTTTGGAGCATAATCCTGAAATACATAGTTTTGAATGCCATAATGCCCAATGTGTAAATCCCCAAAGATCAAAATCTCTAAACTGAAAGTGGGAAAACTAAATAGGAAATACTCATGTCAGTATATAGTGAATCATAGAAGAATTTCAGAAAGACCAGGACCAAGTAGAAAATGAATGTGAACATATGCTCTGAGGAGAACTATGTCCCAAAAGAAAAAGAAAAGCAGCTATTCATTGTGATACAAAACTTCAAAATACAGCTAATGAAGATAAAAATTGGCTAGCTCTTACACACTGTCTTCCATGCAATTGTCCATAATCTATCCCTGTGATACACTTTTTCACGTCAAATTTTCTTCTTAGTTTTTTTTCTTTTGTTCTTTTTAGTTATTTTTCACTATTTTAACTTGTCAGCATTATTTTTACAATTTGAAGTGCTATAAGCTTCATCTTCACATCATTTCCAATATTGGAGGTATAAATCATGTATGGACTTTTCAAGAGTTCTTATTCATTTTATGCATTTTTTTTTGCGAATGTGACCCCATGAGAATGCATTATCACAGTTTTGACTTTGTGTGTAAGCATTGTGTGCGTACATAAAAATGTCAAAACTTTCTCAATGAGTAGAGATTTCCTTTTTGTACATCTGCATTTGTGAAAGATAAGATTTCTTGAGATGTTGGCTTTTTGAGTCATTGCAGCCTATGCAGTGGTGACCCATTGTGTTTTTGATTTATCTCATCAAAAGACTTAGGTTGTTCCTCATGATATTTCAGATGACTGCAGTTATAAAGCTGGGTGCACACAATTACCAAAGTAATATGTATTTTTACATTTCCATCTTTGGTCTATTTTTATGAATATGAATCTGTTATGTTAGACCCATGCAATTGTCGTTAGTGTACCTGAGTCACAAAAATGTGTGGCTATTGCCTGCTTTTTTGTGTGTAAAGTGGCCTACGAAATGTCACTTTGTAAGGTTTCTTGAATAACCTTCTCTTTAAAAAATGTAAATAAACATCTTTTTAAAAGTTGTAAAATTATTTTTCCAGAATTATTTTTCTGGGATTTTGATCTTTTGGGATTTCAACATTCGGGATTATGGCATTGGGATTGTGTCTTTTGGAATTATGATCAGCTCCCCCGCAATCCCTCTTCTCTTGGTGCTCTACACATTTAGAGAAATTTATCCAGTAACCAACTGTAGAAATGATCCCTGAAGGTATAGTCATATTTTTTTTTCTCAAGTGAGCTATGATATTTTGTTTCTTTAAAAATCTGTTTATTTTACTCGTCACATTTTAAAGCACAGATTTAACCACATAATTTTCCTCTTCTTTTAATATCTGTAGTAGTGTCCCCCTCTTGATTTCTGATATTGGTCATTTTTTGCTATGGATTTATAATTTTATTACTTTCCACTCTCCGCTACCAGAGAGATTTTTGTTTCATTTGTTTTCTTTTTTTTAAATTATTGATTTCTGCTATATCTTTGTCAGTTTCTTTTTTTCTGGTTGATCTGTTCAGTGTTTGCTCTTAATTTACTTCTCTTTTTCCAGTTACTTAATGATGGTAGCTTATATCAGTGGTTTGAGACTTTCTTCTTTGCTGCCATAAGCATTTAGTGCGATGAATTTCCCCCTCAGAGTTGCAGAAGGCTTCTAAAGACAAACATGTTTCAGCAAGCTGTGGCCAGCTGATTCCCATTCTTCTCATAATATTACCTCTACCCCCTGCCAAGTGATGTGGGTTAGGAGAGAGTTTGGAGGAGGGTTGTGATGAGATTTTTGAAACTCAGACATCTCTTGCAAAAAGTGGACTGTTTTAAATGGACTCTAGGGTCCCTGTTGCTTCTCTCTCATGTGGGTGGCTGTTGGGTTTTGCTTTTGTTTTTTCAAAAGAATAAAGAAAACTTTTAAATCACAAAAATAAATACATACATACATACATACATAAATTTTTGTCCCCCTCAGCAACTCATAAATTTGATTACACTTTATTTTTCTTCATTAAAAATATTACCTAATGTACCTTGCTATTTCCATTAGCTCTTTTGTTTTCTTCAAAGAATGATATAATTTTAGCTCTTACATTTAGGTTTGTAGTCCATTATGAATTAATTTTGTGTATGATGTGAGACAGGGGTCCAACTTCATTCTTTTGTGTGTAGGCATTCAATTATCCCAAGACTATTTGTTGAAAAGGCTACATGCCCTCATTGAGTCCTTTGGGCCCTCTTACAGGGTATCAACTGACCACAAATGTAAGGGTTTATTTCCGGGTTCACAATTCTATTCCATTAGTCTATATGTCTATTCTTATGCCATTACCATACTATCTTGATTACTACAGTTTTTGTTGTAACTTTTGAAATTGTGGTGTGAGAGGACTCCAACTCTGTTCTCTTTTTAAAATATTATTCTGGGCTTTTAAATTTCCTTATGAATTTTAGGATAAGTTTACCAATTTCTGCAAATAAGCCAGCTGGGATTTGAGAGGAAGTGTATTTAATCTGAATATCAATTAGGGAATGTGGCCAGCTGTACAATGTTGGTTCATAATCAAGTAATGTTTTCCTTTATTTAGATTTTATTGAACATCTTTCAACTAGGTTTTATAGTTTTAAGAATATAAGCATTGCAGTTCTTTTTGTAATCGTTTTTACTGTGCATCTTATTTTTGATGGTTCTGTAAATGGAATTTTCTTCATTTTATTTTTAGATTACCTATTGCTAGTATATAGAAATACCACTTATTCTGGTATGTTGTTATTGTATCCCTGACACTTTACTGAATTGATTTATTAGTTCTAATAATTTTTAGGGGATTACTTATGATCTTCTGTTTTTTGAGACGGAGTCTCGCTCTGTCACCCAGGCTGGAGTCCAACGGCACGATCTCAGCTCACTGCAACCTCCGCCTCCTGGGTTCAAGCGATTCTCCTGCCTCAGCCTCCCAAGTAGCTGGAACTACAGGCATCCACCACCATGTCTGGCTAATTTTTTTGTATTTTTCGTTGAGACAGGGTTTCATCACGTTGTCTCGCCTGGTTTTGAACTCCTGACCTCAAGTGATCCACCTGCCTTGGCCTCTCAAAGTGCTGGGATTACAGGCATGAGCCACTGGGCCAGGTCATGATTTTATATTTTAAATAGCAAACAGAGATTCTTTTATTTCTTTCTCTCAGTTCAAGATGTCTTTGATAGTCATAGGCTAAGTTTAAAAAAAAAAGAATTATCTCTGCCTTTTAATTCTAATATATTATTATTCTAATATAGTTATTTACCATTTATAAATTGTCATATGAACAAGCTGTACCAAATACCTAAAATTATTAATGCCTGAAATATTAGTTTATTAAGAAACAGTAATGACTCATAGTTGGCTAAAATATGACAAGAGACAACACATATTTCATTAAACTCCATGAGAAATTGTCATCGTATTTTTCTAACTCGTGGATACTTAGAACTGTTTCTCAACTAAAGACAAAAATAATATTAGATGAAATTTTACATTCTATATACCATATAGCATTTTAACATTTGAGTTATTGTATAAAGTAGATCTAAGTGAGATAAAATAACATTGTGATGATTTTGCATCATTAAAAGACTGAATCTAGAGAATATTTTGCCTTCTCAACAACCTTCATGAATGCATTCTTCACGTCTTTGTTCCTCAGGGTATAGACTATAGGACTGAGCATGGGGATGATCATAGTGTAGAACACAGATGCAATTTTGTCTGTGTCCATGGAATGACTGGAACTTGGTCGTATGTACATGATGATGACAGTTATATAAAATAAGAAAATGGCAATGAGGTGAGAACCACAGGTAGATAAAGGCTTCTGGTATCCCTTACCTGTGTGCCTCTTAAGAATGGTGATCAATATGAACAGATAGGAAATCAAGGTAACAAGAAGTGCAAAAAAGACATTAAAACTTGATATAAGAACAAGAATCAACTCACTAATGTGTTTCTCAGAGCAGGTCAGAGTAATGACTGCTGGTTTGTCACAGAAAAAGTGATGAATCACATTGGACATGCAGAAAGAGAGGCGAAATGTATCTCCAATTTGGATAGAAGCATTCAGAAAACCAATGACATAACAGCCTATAGCCAGACAAGCACACACACGTGTTGTCATGGTGGTGGTATAATGTAGGGGGTTACACACTGCTGCGTAGCGGTCATAGGCCATTGAGGACAAGAGGTAATTTTCCACAGTGGCAAAGACTGCACAAAAGAACATCTGAGCAGCACAGGCACTGTAGGAGATGGCTTTGTCTTCTATAAGCAACCCAGTTAAAACCTTTGGAGTGACAGCTGAGGAGTAACCAATGCCTGCAAGAGACAGGTTACTGAGAAAAAAGTACATGGGAGTGTGGAGATGAGAGTCCAGCAGGATTAATATGATCATCCCCAGGTTCCCAGTCAGAGTGATGAGGTAGATGAGGGTAAACATGATAAAGAGGGGAACCTGTAGTTCTGGGGCATTGGTTAGACCAAGCAGGATGAATTCACTCACCTCTGTATTATTCTCCATGGATGTTATTTTAGAATCACAAGATACTCTGTAGCAAGGAGAGATAAAAAAGAAAAACCCTGTGATGAACAAAACAGAGTTGCACAA
Organism: Homo sapiens; assembly: GCF_000001405.40. Classification (NCBI taxonomy): domain Eukaryota; kingdom Metazoa; phylum Chordata; class Mammalia; order Primates; family Hominidae; genus Homo; species Homo sapiens. The sequence goes on from NC_000011.10 coordinate 58,359,157, forward strand.
AACTGAAATGTATGTGTTATTTTATTATAGCAATGATTTGTTTTCTATATTTCCTAGATCAAAATTATGGATATGAAAACACAATTTAGTGGATAACTTATCTATACAGTAATAGACTTTTGAAGAAAAAGGGTCTTCGTGGATCATCTTTCCAGCTTCTTAATTTTGTGTCTGAGTAAATGGAGTCATAGGAAGGGAATAATGAGTTGTCCAATGTCACATGCCTGAAGTGAATCTATCTCCCAAATAATATGTTTTTTGAATCTAACATCTTAAACACACTTATAGTTGTCTCATGCCAGATGCTTTATATGTACATCCTCATAGAATTCTCTCATTAATCCTATTATTTAATTAGTTATTATTGCCAATTTATACATGAAGTATCTTGGTAGAAAAAAAGAGTTTGAATAATTTATTCAAGATTACACAAGCACCAGTAGATAGAACCAAGCTTTAGACACAATCAGGGTGGTTCCCAACCTAAATTAAAAGAATTAAAATTCTTTTAATGAATTTGAATTATTTTAAATGTTAATCTATTTATATGTACTCATTCTATCTATTATACCAAGCATAACATATGAAGTTGCATAGTAGAGCAATGCACAAATAAATGCATACTAGATGAAGTGGAATAAATGCAGCATTAATGTCATGTGCAACCAACAAAGCCAATTCTGCAGAGAAGATATAGCATTGGGTATAAAATCTAGGACTCTAAGAAGAGGTAGATTTGTATTAACTCATAAGCCCTAACATTTACTACTTGGGAGACACTGGTCTTAATCTAACTTCCTTGAATCTCATTTTATCCATTAGTCAAATGAAGATGATATTAGGACTTATGTCAAGAGATTATTTTGAGAGTTAAATGAGATAATGCTCAGCTGTTGGCAAAATGTGGGCACTCAGCACAGTCCTGATGAGTGCTAGCTATAATATTATTATTAGGATGGAATGGTGGTGCATATGTTGGTGTAGAACACATAGAGGTGACACACAGGGCTGAAGGTGTGGGTGGGTTTTCAAGTTGGCAGTTTTACTCTGTCTGATCTGTATTTTCTTACACACTATGTCCAGTCTTTTGTTTCCTTCAGCATTTCTCACTCTATCCATTCTTTGCCAGGTGAATGACTGTGTCAGCCATCTAGCATGAGAACCCAGGGATCTTCAAGTCCTGTTGTGTTTAATTTCTCCCTTTCAAACTACATTTTACCTTGTGTTGAAACAATCCCCTTTTATCTTAGACACATTCTTCCTGTCATTACTCTCAACACTTAGCAGGATATCAGATATTGAGGGTTGGAGGTTCGTAGTCTTGGGGGCTGACTGTAGGCTGCAGATGTGTTTATGCACAATCTTTTTATTTGAATTTGAATCTGTCAGAAGGACATTCATTTCCTCATAACCACTATTGATTGTCTATCATTTTTCTCCTGCCCCCAGTACACATCAGTTGACACTTCTAGAATTCAAATTATTTGTTTGCCAAAAAACTACCCACATAATAATATAAGCTACAATTTTTATTGTTTTTCTTTAAAAATTTACTATGTTCTATGACAACTGAAAGGTTCTCACTGTACCTACCTGGATAATCTAGGATAATCCTACCATCTCAACATGTTAATTTAATCACTGTGAAGTTTGTAAAAAAATCACATAAGGCCACATGTTTATGGGTTTCAGAAGTTAAGATATGACCACCTTTGGGGAACATTATTAAGGCTGCCATAATGAGTATGAATATTATATATCATAGGTAAATTATCTCTAGAATCAGAAATGGTTGAGACATCTTCACAGATCACATAGCCAACTTCCTAATTGTATATATGAATCACTAGAGGAGCAGAGAAAGTATTAAATTCTCAAGTTCACATATCTGGAATACATTGATTTTATAAATCAGATCTTCTAAAGTTACTAGCAGCTTAGCCTTTGTACTTATGAACCAGTTTGTTTCATGAATGATAGAGAGATGATAGATTGACAGACATAGATATCAGAGCATGGAGAGAGAGAGAGAGAGAGTATTTATACAGACAGATATATAACCCCATTTGCTGTTAAATATTGGGAGATTAGAGGAGTTTTGTACCTTCCTCATATTCTACACTTAGTAAGATAAATTCAAGATTCAAACCCATGTCTAACCTATTCCAATTTCTGTGCCTTTAATCACTGCAATGTCAGATTTTCTAGATTAGCAAGTAATGAAAAAGTGAGATTGTGAGGAAATGATAGTAAAAATGGAATAGGGATCTTGGTAGTGTCATAATAATCTTTCTGAAGTCTATTGAAGAGTTGTTGCACCCTGTTTGGGGGAGCTATTCCTTCAGCGACAAACCAACACATAATAAACCAGATACATTTACCACCTACTCAATCAGAGCATCATCCAGCCTAGGGTTTTACTACCATCTTAGGGAGAGCAGCACGGCATTTCATAAATATCACTGTATCTGCTGGTTAAGTTTTCTTTTTTTTTTTTAAACAATGAATGCTAGACCCACTTCCATGTTTTAGAAAAAATGTTCAAACAAGTAGATCTGAGCTCAAAAACTCATACAAGATGTAGCTGCCACACTGCTTTTGCATCAATTACATATTTCACCAAAAGTATATATTGAATATAGAGGCTTACCTTGCTCTTTGAAAAGAAGAAAAAGGCAGTTCTCAATTGTGAGTCTGAAATCAGAAATTCATTCTTGGGAGAATGCCTAAATAACATTGGAGAAATTCTCTATCATGTACTTTTCAGAAATGTTCAAGTTTTTTGAGGCATAAAGAGGTGGAGAAAGAATTATTAACATGGAGTGCTAACTCAAACATGTCATTTTTCTATGTTGTATCATTTTTCTGTGTTGTGAAAGTCTGAGTTCAGGTTTTGCATGTACCATGGGTTTTTCTGTGAACTTGAAAAACTTATTTATTTTCTGCTGAGCTCAGTTTCCTCATTTGTGGAATAGAAATGAGAAAATGTTTTCTCCCACAACTTCACACAATTGTATCTATACAGAGAAAATGACAGTGGACCTATACAGACCTTAGTAAGTTGTTATCCCTTCATCATGAACCAATACAATTTTTATCTTGGGAAGTTTTTTTCTGCCTTTGGTTGGAGAATCACTGCAATATTCTCAGTTTCAGGAAAGACCAGATTGTGCACTAAAAGTATTAGCTTTCATTTGGATGAATGAAGATTAAAGTGGCTCTGGTTAGAGTCTTATCCATTTTAAATAACGTCATGTGGAGCCATACTATGATTTCAGATCTTACTGACTGGCAGCCAGGAGAAAAGTGTACATGTATGGAACTCTCTGGGAAACAGCGTCCCTATGAGGGCAATAGCTTTCCTTTATCTCACTTATCTAGGGAAGAGGCAATTACACAGCATCCAGTGATAGAGTTTGTGTTGAGTCACATACATGTTTATTTGTGGTAATTGCTGTCATGCCTTTTTTCTCCCCCAATTTTATTAAGTTGTTATTACATACATGAGCAGTGTGTTGATCTATTTATATTTACTGTATTATTGATGTGTAATACATGTCAAATATTTATTTTGTTTTCTTTTTATTCATTTTTCTACTTTCTATTTTATAACTTGTTATATCTGATAGCAACTGAATTTGTAGATTGATAAACATAATCCCTGTTTTACTTTCTTGTGTTTACAATCAACTGATAAATATAACATAGGTGTCAGAGAAATGAAGATTAGAATATTCCTTAATATTTATATTCAATTCAAAAATTTGATTCAGATAAATAGGTGGATGGCCTTCTTTTCTATCTCAAATTACTATTTCCTAGCAAATATCGTTAGTGTTCTATCCATCCCCTCTTCACTTGTGTTGTCCATGTGCAGGCCAATACTTATTGTGAAATAAAGAATGTGAAATTTGCGTTTTGCAGACTTAGGGCTTAGAATTTGCTGTAAAAGTAGGTTCAGCCCATGTGTGGAACATTTTAATTTCTGTGGTGTGGAACATTTTAATTTCTGTGGTATCAGCAATCAGTACATGATAGATAGAAGTAGAGTGATAAGAACCCAATTCCTACTTTTTCAGGTGGTATAACTTTGAGACATATTTGATAGTTTTCCAGTGGTTCCTGATAGACTAAGGCCCAGTTTTCTTCAGGCATAACCTACTCACTAAAGAAACCCTTTATTCCCCTTCCTGTGTCCAAGTGTTCTCATTGTTCAATTCCCACCTATGAGTGAGAACATGCAGTGTTTGGATTTTTGTCCTTGTGATAGTTTGCTGAGAATGATGGTTTCCAGCTTCATCCATGTCCCTGCAAAGGACATGAACTCATCATTTTTTATGGCTGCATTTTATGGAATACTAAATTATTCCATGGTGTATATGTGCCACATTTTCTTAATCCAGTCTATCATTGATGGACATTTGGGTTGGTTCCAAGTCTTTGCTATTGTGAATAGTGCCGCAATAAACATACGTGTGCATGTGTCTTTATAGCAGCATGATTTATTCTCCTGTGCATATATACCCAGTAATGGGATGGCTGGGTCAAATGCTATTTCTAGTTCTAGATCCCTGAGAAATCACCACACTGACTTCCACAATAGTTGAACTAGTTTACAGTCCCACCAACTGTGTAAAAGTGTTCCTATTTCTCCACATCCTCTCCAGCACCTGTTGTTTCCTGACTTTTTAAATGATCGCCATTCTAACTTGTGTGAGATGGTATCTCATTGTGGTTTTGATTTGCATTTCTCTGATGGCCAGTGATGATGAGCATTTTTTGATGTGTCTTTTGGCTGCATAGGGGCCTGTTGTGGGGGTGGGGGTAGGGATAGCATTAGGAGATATACCTAATGTAAATGACGAGTTAATATATTCAAGATATATAACATTTCCATCACCACAAGGATCCCTCATGCTGACCTTTTATAGCCATGACCCCATTCCTTCTTAAATACTGGAAAAAAATCTGTCCTCCATTTTATAATTTTGTCATTTCACAAATGTTCTATGTATGTGGAATTATGCCTTGGATTTTTTGTGACCGTTTGAGACTGGCTGTTTTTACTCAGCATATTCTTCCCAATATTCATCCAGGTTTTTGAATGTATCAACAGTTTATTCCTTTTTATTGAGAGTAGTATTCAATGTGATGGATGTACTACAAGTTGTTAACCTTTCACCCAAGGAAGGATATCTGAATGGTTTCCAGCATGGTTTCTAATTTTTGACTACTATAAATAAAGGTGCTATAAACATTTACACACAGTTATTTTTGTGAACATAAATAATCATGTTTCTGGGAAAATGCCCAGGAGTTCATTTGCTGGATCTTATGGCAGTTATGTATAAAAAACAAACAAACAAACTAACAAAAACAAACAAAAAAACACTAAACTATTTTCCATAGTCTATCTTATCTATTTTTGGTTTCTGTTCCAGAATTTCTAATTACTTTCTATAATTTCTGTTTCTTTATTAATAGTTCACTATTTCTTGAAATATCTTTTTCCTAGCTTCCTTTAGTTTCTTGTTCAAGATTTCATTTAGCTCTTTGAGCGTATTTAGGATACATGTCTTAAAAGTGCAGAAAAATATAGAATCCTGATGAATGAAGTTTTAATAATTGAAATTAGTGTATAGAAATATTATATTCATGAATTGAGAGACTTTATGTTGACTGCTCTGAAGATTCCTTGCAATCACAATTTAAATCCAAGCAGCCTTTTTAAAAAAATAAATATGAATACACTGATTATAAATTATATGGAATGGCAAAGCTAATAAAGATAATAAAGTTGAAGCATGCACATTACCTGATTTCATGACCTTCTATAACTTATAATAATCCACATAAGTGTGGCATTGGGAAAAAGACACACAAATCAATGGAACAGATTATTGAATCTAGATATTGATGCATCGTATATAATCATATTTGCATATAACCCATGCAAATCCTCACATATACTTTAAATCATCTCTAGATAACTTGTAATACCTAACACAATGTAAATGCTATGTAAAGAGTTATTATACTGAATTTTTAAATTTGTATTACTTTTTATTGTTGTATTGTTATTATTTTTACAAATATTTATCTATCCATGGTTGGTTAAATCTGCAGATGCATAGCAGAGACACAGAGAGACGATTGTACTTTTATTTAAAAGTAAATCACATTTATTCTCAAATTAGGACTCTAAAACATTTATTCAACTAAATAAATAATATTATACATAAACTGAAATTCAAATAATTAATTACTTAAATTATTTTTGTAAAAGTTAGCCATATTCGATTTAAATCTGGCAAATTTCCCACTCCTGTGTATATGTGCCCACATGAATAAATATGTTCATGGACCCATTTATGCACCTGTTTTACATGTGTGCTTTTCCTAATATTTGGTGGTGGACATGTATGAAGAATTAGTGAATGAATCAAATATGTTCTATAAAGTTTTTGACAAGCAAAACCCAAGATATCTTACTATTCACCTTAGCTTTCTCTTTTAGGTATTATGTTTTTGGACATAATATTTCTTTTTTCCTAGAGAACAAACTTCTGAAGAAGTAATGGTATTATTTCAGAAACTTCCATGTGGGCCTTAAAATGCAATTCAGAACAGAGGAATGAAACTAGGTATCATGCATCCTGCAATGTTAAACTCACAATAATAGAGACAATTTTGCCTTCTCAATAACTTTCTTGAATGCGCTCTTCACTTCGTTGTTCCTCAGGCTATAGACCAGGGGGTTCAGCATGGGGATGATCATAGTATAGAACACAGATGCCAGTTTGTCTGTGTCCATGGAGTGACCAGAGCTGGGCTGTAAGTACATGAAGATAATAGTCCCATAGAAGATGATGACTGCAGTGAGGTGGGAGGCACAGGTGGACAAAGCCTTCTGGTATCCTGAAGCTGAGTGCATCTTTAGGATGGTGATAAATATGAATAGGTAGGAGATCAAGATAACTAGGATGGCAGAAAAGATATTGAAACTGGCTACATAAATGAGAACTAGCTCATTCACATGTCTATCACAGCAAGACAGAGCCATGACTGGTGGAACATCACAGAAAAAGCAATGGACTTCATTGGACATACAGAAAGAGAGACAATGTTTCCCCAATGTGTATGGAGGCATTCAAGAAACCACAGACATAACAGATTATAGCCAGACATGCACACACACTTGTTGTCATGGTGGTGGTGTAATGTAGGGGTTTGCACACTGCATCATAGCGGTCATAGGCCATTGAGGCCAAGAGGAAATTTTCCACAGTGGCAAAGGCTGCAAAAAAGAACATTTGAGCAGCACATGCATTGTAAGAGATGACCTTGTCTCCTATAACGAGCCCAGCTATGACTGTGGGAGTGACAGCTGAAGAGTAACAAAAGTCCACTAGAGACAGGTGACTGAGGAAAAAATACATGGGAGTGTGGAGATGAATGTCCCAAACAATTAAAACAATCATCCCCAGGTTTCCAACCACATTGACAAGGTATATGAGAGTGAACATGATAAGGAGGGGGACTTGTAGCTCTGGAGCATTGGTTAGTCCCAGGAGGATGAACTCTGTCACTTCTGTACAGTTCTTCATCAATGTTATTAGAAAATCAGAGGATGCCTGCAGCAATGAGAAATAAAGGAAAAGAATGCTAATACATGTTGTGGAATAGATATTGCAATGAAATGGAAACATCTATATATTAGTGCATTATTTCATTATTATAGTAATACACATTTTAAGATTCTATATATCTAAACATAAACTTAATTACAAAGTATAATGCCTTAAATAGCTGTAGAGTTATAAACTGCTGAATTGAAAAGATCTGCATGGATTATCTCTTACCAGTTTTCACCTTCCTATCATTGTAAACCAATATTTGGAAAATTATATAAAATTTCCAACATGTCTGAATAATATATATGGCAGGTGTGTGTATATATGTATACACACACACACACACACACATATACCAATTCAGTTTTTTTATTCTAGTAAAAACTTTTGCTTGTATATTGCCCATCTGACAGAATTGCTCTAGATACTTTGTAAGTATATTCATTGATTCTTCTCAACAACAAGTTTGATTAGTTGTTACTTTCTTTTAGAGTGAGAGGCACAAGAGGTTGAGTAATTTATTCACATTTACATAAAAATTAATGGCAAGCCAAGCTTTGGACGCAAGCAGAGTGGTTTGAAAGCACAACATTCATAATTGTCTCTACATCAAATTGTTTAACTCAATCAAACAGTTACTTATCGCCTCCATTGGTACAAACTCAGTGTTTGAGATTTCACAGTGAACGAGAGAGATTTGCACAGCAGTTGTATGGTGATGACTGGGACAGTAGGGGCATGTATAATCAGTAAAGGTAATTCTGATGGGAAGACACAGAAATGGATATAGAGCTTGACCTCTGGTAAGAGCTGCATATCAGCTCAACCCTACCATTTGCTACCTAGGAATCATTGATCCTTACCTATCTCCTCTGAACCTCATTTTCTCTATCTGCAAAATGAAGATAGTAATTATATCTACCTGAAGGTACTAATGTGAGATTTAAATGTGAAATGCATAAAACAATGCATAAATGTTGTATGGTTAGCCAACTTTATGAGTGCCAGCTACATTATTATTAGAATGAAAAAGTGAGTGATAACATTCAGATCTTTAGGTGTGGATGAGTTTTGAAGTCTTGTAACCTCCTTCATCATTTTGCTTATTCTCACACAGTAGAGCCACTGAGATTTTCTGTACCTTTCAATAATTCTTCGTTGTTGCATCCATACAGTTGGCTGTGCTAGCCATCCCATGTAGCTGTTTTTTTGCTTAATATCTTTTTTGAAATCCATAGTTTAGCCTGCACTCAGTCTCCTTTTCTTATACTCATTCTTTCTCTCAGTAGTGGCATCCCATATTTGAATCACAGAAATCAAGGATTGAAAGCTCATAGTTTTTGTCTTGCTTTAGCCTGCAGATCTGTCTTTGTGACAAACTCCATGTAGTAAAATATTTTGTTTTAATCTGTTCTTACGTAGGAACCATTTTAATTATTTTAATTTTAATATTAAGTCTTTGGAAGGATATCCATTCAATGCTAACTACTAGTCCCTTCCATCTTCCTCCTTCGCCTTTAGCAACTTCACTCCTCAAGCCAACCCCTTGAAGGCTTTCTGTTTATCTACTTTAACACACATGACCACTTTTCTCATATACCATGTTCTACAACCAATGATAAGTGGGTATATTTGTGTTATGCATGTGTGTGCAGTATAAGGTAGGTAGTCGTATTATTTTTATTTTACCATTAATGCAAATGAGAATTTATGAAGTTTTGGGATGCTTTACAATTACACAGCTAGTATGAGGAAGATTCAAAATTTAAACCCAGTTAGGACCTAATCAGCAGCCAGTGCTTTCAGCGATACCATTGTCAATGTGTATAGATGTACTAGAAGTAATAAGAATAAAATTATGGGGAAAATGTTAAAAAGTAGTTTGAAACTTATTTCCCTTTGGTACTTCAGTATTTTTTGTTTTTTGAGACAGAGTCTTGCTCTGTCACCCAGACTGGAGAGCAGTGGCACAATGTCTGCTCACTGCAACCTCCACCACCTGGGTTCAAGAGATTCTTGTGCCTCAGTCTCCCAAGTAGCTGGGAGTGCAGGCGTGCACCACCACACCCGGCTAATTTTTGTATTTTAGTAGAGACAGAGTTTCACCATGTTGTCCAGGCTGGTGTCTTAACTCCTGACCTCAAGTAATCTTCCCGGCTCGGCCTCCCAAAGTGCAGGGATTACAGGCATGAGCCACCATGCCTGGTCAGTACCTTTAGTATTTTAACAAGGGTCATTGTACTCTTCTGTTTTTTTTTCCTTACTTCCAAGAAGATGCTAACATACGGTGTATAAAATTAGTGTACAAGATGAAATTACCACCAAATCAGTCAGAATATCACCTGTACTATTTTTTCTATATTTTTTAGGAGAGCAGCATAATGATATTTCATAAGTATCAGCTAACTTCCAACTAATTAAAGATTTGAGGTTGATAACCCAGCTTCACCTCAGTTTTTTATAAAAATGTTGAGAACATTTATTTCTGTGCTTGAAACATCATAGTAGGTACAGCTATCCTATTGCCATTGTATAAATTCAGTTTTCACTAAAGGTGTATATTGAATAGAAGCTTACCTTGCTCCTTAAAAACAGTGAAAGTCAATCTTGAATAGTGAGTTCAATATCAGAAATCTTTTCATGCACAAATTCTGTTAGAGAAGCCCTTCCTCAGGTAGTGGTCAATGGTTTCAAGGTCTCTAAGGCAGAGAAAGATGGGGGGAAAACACTAATTCATGTTCAGATCGTGAATCTATCATGTATTTTTTTCTGTCCTTCAATAACACACTTATCTCCTCCTTAATTGTAAAATAAACATAACAAAATTACCTCTCTCCTACAATTCACAGAATTGTGCTTGTCAATAGCAAATAAGAGAATGCCTGTATAATAACTCACTAAAGGATTCTCATTTCAAGTCATTTGATATAATTTTTATCTCGGAGTGCTCCCTTGGCTATGGCTTCAGGCTCATAGGAAACCTTAAAATCAGGAGAAGGCCTATGTGTATGAACAACTGTTAACATTCAGATGAATAAATGATGATCAAAGGGACGAGGATGAAAGTATGTCCCTCTAAAATAAAGTCACCTGGAGTCATGATAGATTTCAGAAGCTAATGCATAGGAACCAGAAGTGAATTATAAAGACATGGTCCTCTCAAGGAATGTCCCCCATGAGACTATCTACAGCTCCTCTTCTCACTTTCCTAGAGAAGAAACAACAAAATTCCCTGTGGGGACCAAATTGGATATTTTGAGTGTGCACATGTGTTTTTGTATTACTTACTATTTTGTATTTCTTGTTTCTTTTAAATTAATATGTAAGTGGGAAACCATAATATGCCCACATTGTAGTGTATATTTCTAAGACTTTTGTTAAATATATAGTCATGTAACCACTATCATAATCACCTAATTTCCCAAGCTTATTTTCGATCAATGCCTTCTCCCGTCAGTGCTTCTGACAACCACTAAACTGCTTTTGTCCATAAAATTTTGCCTTTGCAAGAATATCTTTTACTAGAATCCTAGAATATGTAGTCTTTTTATGTCATCTTCCACTTAGCATAGTTCAGTTGAGATCCATCCCTTTGTTACGTGAGTCTGTTGTGAATTTTTTTAATTGCCAAATAGTATTTCATAACGTGAACTTTACATGTTTTTTTTAAAATTCTGAGTTGAAGACAATTTGTGTCATTTCTAGTGCTTGCTGACCATGAATCAAGCTGATCTAAGTATTGGCTAACATTTTTGTGTGGACATCGGTTTTTATTTCATTTTGATAAATACCTGGAAGTTAAGGTGTTTGTTCACATGGTAAATATCCTTAATTGAATAGAAAGCTCTCAAACTGTTTATGGAGGTGACTTTATCATTTTTTATTCCCAAGGGCATTTCATTTTTTTCATATCTTTGCCATCACTTGGTATTTTAAGGATTTTTCACATTCAATTTTAATTTAATTTAGTTGTCATTTTTGTTCTTTCTCAAAGATGTTTCAAGAGTCTTCTAAGCAAAATATTTTTTTTGAAAAACATACCTATTTTCCTTATTGCCACATTTATGGCCTGGGAACATCCTTTTATCTCCTAAAGAAAATAGATCCGGATGCAAGGCTGGTTCAATATACGCAAATCAATAAATGTAATCCAGCATATAAACAGAACCAAAGACAAAAACCACATGATTATCTCAATAGATGCAGAAAAGGCCTTTGACAAAATTCAACAACGCTTCATGCTAAAAACTCGCAATAAATTAGGTATTGATGGGACGTATTTCAAAATAATAAGAGCTATCTATGACAAACCCACAGCCAATATCATACTGAATGGGCAAAAACTGGAAGCATTCCCTTTGAAAACTGGCACAAGACAGGGATGCCCTCTCTCACCACTCCTATTCAACATAGTGTTGGAAGTTCTGGCCAGGGCAATTAGGCAGGAGAAGGAAATAAAGGGTATTCAATTAGGAAAAGAGGAAGTCAAATTGTCCCTGTTTGCAGGTGACATGATTGTATATCTAGAAAACCCCATCATCTCAGCCCAAATTCTCCTTAAGCTGATGAGCAACTTCAGCAAAGTCTCAGCATACAAAATCAATGTACAAAAATCACAAGCATTCTTATACATCAACAACAGACAAACAGAGAGCCAAATCATGAGTGAACTCCCATTCACAATTGCTTCAAAGAGAATAAAATATCTAGGAATCCAACTTACAAGGGACGTGAAGGAACTCTTCAAGGAGAACTACAAACCACTGCTCAAGGAAATAAAAGAGGATACAAACAAATGGAAGAACATTCCATGCTCATGGGTAGGAAGAATCAATATCGTGAAAATGGCCATACTGCCCAAGGTAATTTACAGATTCAATGCCATCCCCATCAAGCTACCAAGGACTTTCTTCACAGAATTGGAAAAAACTACTTTAAAGTTCATATGGAACCAAAAAAGAGCCTGCATTGCCAAGTCAATCCTAAGCCAAAAGAACAAAGCTGGAGGCATCACACTACCTGACTTCAAACTATACTACAAGGCTACAGTAACCAAAACAGCATGATACTGGTACCCAAACAGAGATATAGATCAATGGAACAGAACAGAGCCCTCAGAAACAACGCTGCATATCTACAACTATCTGATCTTTGACAAACCTGAGAAAAACAAGCAATGGGGAAAGGATTCCCTATTTAATAGATGGTGCTGGGAAAACTGGCTAGCCATATGTAGAAAGCTGAAACTGGATCCCTCCCATACACCTTATACAAAAATCAATTCAAGATGGATTAAAGACTTAAACGTTAGACCTAAAACCATAAAAACCCTAGAAGAAAACCTAGACTTTACCATTCAGGACATAGACATGGGCAAGGACTTCATGTCTAAAACACCAAAAGCAATGGCAACAAAAGCCAAAATTGACAAATGAGATCTAATTAAACTAAGAGCTTCTGCACAGCAAAAGAAACTACTATCAGAGTGAACAGGCAACCTACAGAATGGGAGAAAATTTTTGCAACCTACTCATCTGACAAAGGGCTAATATCCAGAATCTACAATGAACTCAAACAAATTTACAAGAAAAAAACAAACAACCCCATCAAAAAGTGGGCAAAGGACATGAACAGACACTTCTCAAAAGAAGACATTTATGCAGCCAAAAAACACATGAAAAAATGCTCACCATCACTGGCCATCAGAGAAATGCAAATCAAAACCACAATGAGATACCATCTCACACCAGTTAGAATGGCAATCATTAAAAAGTCAGGAAACAGCAGGTGCTGGAGAGGATGTGGAGAAGTAGGAACACTTTTACACTGTTGGTGGGACTGTAAACTAGTTCAACTATTGTGGAAGTCAGTGTGGCGATTCCTCAGGGATCTAGAACTAGAAATACCATTTGACCCAGCTATCCCATTACTGGGTATATACCGAAAGGACTATAAATCATGCTGCTATAAAGACACATGTACACGTGTGTTTATTGCGGCACTATTCACAATAGCAAAGACTTGGAACCAACCCAAATGTCCAACAATGATAGACTGGATTAAGAAAATGTGGCACATATACACCATGGAATACTATGCAGCCACAAAAAATGATGAGTTCACGTCCTTTGTAGGGACATAGATGAAATTGGAAATCATCATTCTCAGTAAACTATCGCAAGGACAAAAAACCAAACACCACATATTCTCACTCATAGGTGGGAATTGAACAATGAGAACACATGGACACAGGAAGGGGAACATCACACTCTGTGGCCTGTTGTGGGGTGGGGGGAGGGGGGAGGGATAGTGTTGGGACATATACCTAATGCTAGATGACGAGTTAGTGGGTGCAGCGCAGCAGCATGGCACATGTATACATATGTAACTAACGTGCACATTGTGCACATGTACCCTAAAACTTAAAGTATAATAATAAAAAAAGATTATTATTAATCTAATTGTGAGCACCTGAAGACCAGTAAGATTTTAAAAATAAAAGAAAAAAGACTCTGGAAAAAAAAATAGAAAATAGATCCATTCTTCCCTCTACTCAGACTATACTGAGTCCTCATTCCATAGCAGACTTATAATACTTTTCTTATCACAGACTAGTATAGTGATTACAAGTGTGTTCTGTGTACTAAGGTGGTTTTGCTTCAAATTGAGTAAGCAATTTAATGTCACTAACTTTAATTTCTCTTCTGTAAGAAAGGAGATAATGTCATCTCATCCTTTTGAAATTGCCAAGATTATCATATCACATATTGCAAAGCAAAGAACAATTTCTAGCACATATCAAATGTTCGGTAGATTACTAATATTAATATTTTATTATTTATAAATATTGATACAGCATGGATCACAAAAATAGTGGTCTTCAAACATTCTATCTACTCTCTTACATATGCCTGCCCTATTACAGCTAGACCAAGATACGTATTAGTTGCAGGCAATTGACTGCAAAAGACTAAATATGTGTCATTTCTGGGTGGACTGAAGCACATATGTGACTGTCCAGTTGTTTCTCTCCTGCCACGGTGATTGAAGCGGCTTCGTGTTCCAGCAGGTGCACTAAAGATGGTAAGGCTGTCATCAGATTGTGTTTTGAGTGACCTCAAAGACATAGCCTTCTATTTGACCAGGCAACTTGTGTGATAGACAGAAATTATTAGTAGCATAAGTAATAAACAAATCTGTAGGGGATGGATAATGGTCCCTAAACATGTCAGGTCCAAATCCTTGGAACTTATAAATAGGACCATATATGACAATGGCTTTGCAGTTGTGATTACATTAAAGGCATTGAGATGGGGGATTTATCTTGATTATTTGGTGGGCCCTAAATGTCATAACCAACGTATTTACAAGAAGAGAGGCAGAAAAAATTGCAAATTAGGATATTCCAACAGTCTACCCCTCCTTAAAAACACTGTGGCAATTCTTCAAGGATTGATAACCAGAAATACCATTTGGCCCAACAATATACCCAAAGGATTATAAATCATTCTATTATAAAGACACATGCACATGTATGTTTATTGCGGCACTGTTCACAATAGCAAAGTCTTGGAACCAACCCAAATGCCTATCAGTGATAGTCTGGATAAAGAAAATGTGGCACATATATACCATGGAGTACTATGCAGCCATAAAAAAGGATGAGCTCATGTCCTTTGCAGAGACATAGATGAAGCTGGAAACCATCATTCTCAGCAAACTAACACAAGAACAGAAAACCAAACACTGCATGTTCTCACTAATAGGTGGGAGTTGAACAATGAGAACACATGGACACTGGGAGGGGAACATCACACACTGGGGCCTGATGGAGGCAGGGGACTAGGGGAGGGATAGCATTAGGAGAAATACCTAATGTAGATGATGGGTTGATGGGTGCAGCAAACCACCATGGAACATGTATACCTATGTAACAAACCTGTATGTTCTGCACATGTACCCCAGAACTTAACATATAATAATAAAAGAAAACACTGAAAAAAAAAGAAAAAAGGAAAAAGAAAGGATGAAAGGAAAGAAGGAAAGACCAAAAAGACAGAAAGGTAACTATATGAGATGATAGATATGTTCATTTGTTTGACAGTAGCAATCATTTTACAAAAATTATGTTGTGATTTAAATATATGATATATTTACATATATCATATACATTTAAATATTTATGATAAACAAATAAAGTGGTACCCCTACCTCACACCAAATACAAAACCAATTCAAAACAATCAGTGACCTAGATATGAGAGCTGAAAACATAAAACCACTAGAAAATAAGGTAAATACTCTAGACTTTGGATTTGGCAATGGTTTCTTATGTATGACATCAAAAACACAAGAAATAAAACAAAAAATAAATTGGTATGTCAGCATGATGACTGACTAAGGGTGTCTTCTGGTTTTTGCTCCCCTACAAAAAAGGAACAATACAATAAATAAATAACTAAAATTTGATTACAGCATCTGAGGGTAGTATGAAGTACAGCAAGGGACTGGCAACATTCCTGGTGAGAGGAGAAGCCCAGGATAGCAACATAGAGAAGTGAGTGAAGGACTTTGTCTCTGCTACCCCATCAGGATCAGCTCAAGGGCAAAAAGGACTTCCCATTGCAGGGGAGAGATAAGCAGAAAGACCCCAACAGTTTCCATTGCCAGTGCAGATGGCTGTAGTTTATACTACAGAAGAATCCCACAGTCCTCACGAGCTCTAAGCTCAGTTTGGGTAGCTGCTTGGCATGTACATGGCTCCATTACTTCACAATATGAGCAAACATCATCCACTCTTCACTCCCCATATTCACTTGTGACCTACTCTGCTGTGGCATGGCACAATTTTTCAACCAGAGTCACTGCTGTAGTGAGCCTTGCTCAGGGGTTCAGTAGCACTGTACCTCTCCAGCCTTGGGGCTCCATTCTCCGCTTGATCTTAGCCAAAAAGCTGAGAAGCAATAGGGTCTCCACTCTCATTCCACCAAGACCATACTAGGGGCCGCAAAGCTATGATCCTAGATACTCAGAACCTGAATCCAAGAATAGGTGTGACACCCATCCTGTACAGTAAAGAAGCCAACCCCAGGCTGACCACACCAAACAGCCTAGTGAATCTGTCCCCACCAAGATCCCCCCAGTGTCCCTGGCTGGAGAAAGAATTTAGTGAACTTTCCATGGTTGATTAGTCCCTGAGTCAGTTGAAAAACTGTACACTTATATCTTTGGCCAAAGAAAGAGCCAGTGGCCATATGTCCCTGGAAAGTCAGTCCCTGACCTGGCTGGCCCTCCATGTGCATGCACATGTCCCTGAACACAAAACAAGCTCAGCAAACCCACCCTTGGCAAAGCCATGCCACCACTGCCTCAAACTTCTGCAGCTTAGGCCACTGAGACAGTAACAAATATTGTTAATGCAAATTACAGCTGAATGAACTGCATGGAGACTATACTACTGTGTCCGCCCAGAACCAAACCAATGCACTTTACCCAATTGACATCCTAGGACTGATCTGCAGGACTATTTCCCTATGAAAGGTACTCCATAAAAGTGAAAGAGGTGACTATTATGCGAGATGTACAAATATCCAAGTAGAAACAAAAGAAACATTTTAAAACAAAGGAATATGACACCTGCAAAGAAGCACAATAATTATTTGGTAATAGATCCCAAATAAAAGAAAATTTACAAAATGCCAAAAAAAATAAGTACAATGATCTTAAGGAAACTTGGTGAGATATTAGAGATTACAGCTAGAAAACTCAACGAAATCAGAAAATTAATCCATAATCTAAATTAGAAATTGAACAAAGAGCTAGATATGATAAGAAACAAGTAGACAAAATCTAGGAGCTGAAAAAATCAGTGAATATAATAAAAATACAATTAAGAGCTTCAAGAACAGACTATATAAAGCAGAAGAAGTAATTTCTGAACATGTGGACAGGACTTTTCAAATAACCCAGCTAGAAAAAAATTTAAAAAGAATGAAGAGCACCTACAAGAATAATGGGACATCATATAGTGAATATATATTTGCTTTATGGTAACTGCAGAAAGATAAGAGATAGGAAGAGCTGCAGAACATTTATTTTAAAAAATAATAGCTGAAAATTTCCCAAATCTTGGGAGAGATATGGACTTCTGGATCCAGGAAGCTCCACGACTCCATATAGACACAACCAAAAAAGGTCTTGTCCAAGAGATATTATAGCCAAATCATCAAAAGTCAAAGAAAGAGAATTCTAAAAACAGAAAGGGAAAATTGCCAAGTCACATGTAAGTCTCCACTAGACTAAGGACAGATTTCTTGGCAGAAACCTTATAGTCTAGGAGAGAATGGAATGATATTTTCAAAGTGCTGAAGCAACAACAAAAAAAACTGTCAACCAAAAATATTGTACCTAGCAAAGTTATCCTTCAGAAATGAAGGAGAAATAAAGTCTCAGGCAAACAAAATTTGAGAGAATTCATTGCCACTACACTGGTCTTAGAAATTAAGAAAGTCCTACACTTGGAAGCCAAAGGATGATAACTACCATCACAAAAACACATACACCACTATAAAACTCACTGGTAGAGCCGATACATAAAGGAGAAAGAGAAAGAAATAAAAACTTATCACTATAGAATGCCACCAAATCATGAACATAAACCATAAGAGAAGAAGAAAGGAATAAAGGATATATAAAACAACCAGAAAACAACAAAATGACAGACATAAATTCTCACCTGTCAATACTAACTTTAAACATAAATAAATTGAATATCCCAATTAAATACATAGACTGGATTAATGAATTTAAAAAATACCAACTATATACTGTCTAAAAAAACCCCACTTCTTCACTAAAGACACAAAAAGATTGAGAGTGAAGGAACGGGAAAAGTTTTTTTATGCAAATGAAAGCCAAAAGTAAGTAGGAGTAGCTATAATTATATTTAATGAAACAGATGTTAAGTCAAAAAATATAAAAAGAGACAAATAAGATCATTATATAAGCATAAAAAGATAAATTCAACAAAATGATTTAAATTATAAATGTATATGCACTCAACACCAGAGCACCAGATGTATAAAGCAAATATTATTAGGTTTAAAGGGAGAGATAGACTCCAATACAATAATATTTGGGGATTTCAACACCCACTCTAGGCATAGGACAGATCATATAGGAAGAAAATCAACAAATAAATATAAGATTTAAACTGCACTATAGACCAAGTAGACTTATCAGACAAACACTTCATCCAGTGGCTGAAGAATAAACATTTATCAGCTCATGGAACATTCTCCAGGATTGGTCATATGTTAGGCCACACAACAAGCTTAAACAAATATTTTAAAATTAAAATTATAGCAAATATCTTTTCTCTCCACAATAGAATAAAACTAGAAATCAATAATACTAGGAACTTTCAGAAAATGTACAAATGCATGTAAATTAAACAATGTGCTCCTGAATGACCATGGGTCAATAAATAAGAAGAAAAATTTAATATTTCTTTAAAAACATAGCAAAATTATGGGATACAGAAGAATCAATATTAACAGGAAAATTTATAACAATAACAATAAACACCTACATTTAAAAAGTAGAATTTTTTCATATAAACAATCTAACAATATACCTTAAGGGAATAGAAGAGTAAGAACAAATTAAATGCCGGATTAGCAGAAGAAAAGAGATCACAAATATCTGAGCAGAAATACAATTGAGACCAAAAAATAATTAAAAAGATCAACAAAACAAAATGTTGGCTTTAAAAATTTGAGCAAAATTGACAAACCTTTAGCTAGACTAACCAAGAAAAAAAAGAGAGAGAAGACCCAAGTAAATAAAATTAGAAACTAAAAGGAGACATTACAACATATACCCCAGAAATACAGAGAACTACTAGAGGTATTATGAACAACTATAGGCCAAGAAATTGGAAAATGTAGAATAAGTGGATCAATTCCTGGACACACACAATCTGCCAAGATTGAACCACCAAGAAATAGGAAAACTGGACGGACCAATAGTGAGTAAAAAGATTAAATCTGTAATTAAAGTTTTCTAGAGAAAAGAAAGTCTCCAAAGGAAAGCCCAGGACTAGATGTCTTCACTGCAAATATGCTCATTGCTATGCTATTTACAATAGCAAAGACATGGAATCAACCCAGATGACAATCAATAGTAGACTGAATAAAGAAAATGTGGTAAATATACACTGTGGAATGCTACACAGCCATCAAAAAGAATAAAATCATGTCCTTTGCAACGACATGGATGGAGCTGGAGGACATAATCTGAAACAAATTAATGCAGGAACAGAAAACCAAATACCACATGTTCTCACTTATAAGGGGGAGCTAAGCATTGATAACATATGGACATAAATATAAAAACAATAGACATTGTGGACTACTAGAGGATGGGGGACAGGTTAAAAAACTACTTATTGGGTACTATGTTCACTACCTGGGTGACAGGGATCCACACTCCAGACCTCAGCATCATGAAATATACCCATGTAAGAAATTTGCATGTGTACCCCCTGTATCTAAAATGAAAGTTGAAATTAAAAAATGAAGAAGAACTAATACTAATTCTTCTCAAACTATTTCAAAAAATTAAAGTAGAGGAAAATCTTCCAAACTCATTCAATGAGGCTGTATTACCCTCTTATCAAAACCAGGCAACGACACAACAAAAAAGAAAACTACAGACCAATATCCCTGATGAACACAGATGCAAAAATTCTCCACAAAATGCTAGAAAACAAAATCCAACGGCAAATCAAAAAGATTATACACCATGATCAAGTGGAATTTATTCCAGGGGTGCAAGGATAGTTCAATATACGCAAATCAATAAACATGCTATATCACATCAACAGAATAAAGAGCAAAAACCATGTGATAATTGGAACAGATGTAGAAAAAGCATTGATAAAATTTAACTTCCCTTCATGATAAAACTATCTTCAAATTAAGCATGAAGAAATGTATCCCAACACAATAAAAGCCATATATAACAAACCCACAGCTGACATCATACTGGATGGAGAAAGGCTAAAAGCTTTTCCTCTAAGAACTGAAAGAAGTGAAGGATACCCATTTAACCACTCCTATTAAACATATTACTGGAAGTTCTAGCCAGAGCTGTTAGGCAAGAGAAAGAAATAAAGGGCATCTAAATTGGAAAGAAGGATGTCCCTGTTTGCAGCCACATAATCCTATACCTAAAGACTCCACCATAAAAAACCTGGAAATGATAAATGAATTTGATGAAGTTGCTAGATAAGAAAATCAACATATAACAATCAGTGTTTTCTACACATTCACAACAGACTAGCTGAAAAAGAGGTAAACAAAGTAATTTTATTTATAATAACTACCAAAAAACCTACAAATAAATTTAACCATGGAGGTGAAAAATTTCTACAAGAAAAACCATAAAACATTGATGAAAAAAATTGAAAAGGACACAAATAAATGGAAAGATATCCCATGTTCAGTGATTGTAAGAATTAGTCTTGTTAAAATGGCCATACTGTCCAAGGCACTATACAGATTTAATGAAATGCCTATTAAAATTTTAATGTTTTTTTCACAGAATAGAAAAAAACAATCCAAAAAACCATATGAAACCACAAAAGACCCTAAATAGTGAAAGAAGTTCTAAACAAAAAGCACAAAGCTAGAGGCATCACAGGATGTGGCATCAAAATATACTACAAAGCTATAGTAACCAAAATGGCATGGTACTGGCATAAAAGTAGACACATATACTAATGTAACAGAATAAACAACATGTAAATACATTCAGGATTTTATAGCCAACTAATGGTCAATAAAGACACCAAGAACACTCACTGGGGGAAAGGATAGTCTCTTTAATAAATGGTCCTGGGAAAATTAGATATCCATATGTAAAAAAAATTGGACATCTATCTTTCATCACATATAAAAATCATCTCAAAATTGATTAATTACTTAAATGTGAGACTCAAAACTCTGAAACTACTAGGAGAAAACTTGGAAGAAATGCCTCAGGATATTGACCTTGGCAAAGATCGTATAGTGAAAACCTCAAAAGCACAGGCAACAAAAGCAAAAATAGACAAATGGGATTATAGCAAACTAAATATTTCTATACAGCAGAGGAAACAATGAATAGAGTAGAAAGACACCATGAAGAATGGGTGAAAATATTTGCAAACTATTCATTCAATGAGAGGGTAATATCTAGAATATACAACAAACTCAAGAGCCAAAAAACAAATAACCCAATATAAAAAATGGGCAAAAAATCTGAATAGATATTTATTAAAAAGAGACATACAAATGGTCAACACATATATTTTAAAATGTTCAGCATCATGAATCATCAGAAAAATGCAAATCAAAACCACAATGAGATACCATCTTGCCCCAGTTATAATAGCTATTATCAGAAAGATAAAACACAAAAATTATGAGGATATGAAGAAAGGGAAACTCTTACACACTGATGATGGGAATGTAAATTAGTATAGCCATTGTGAAAACAGTATGGAGGTTCTTAAAAAAAAAAACTAAAAATACCACTGCCATATGATCCAGCAGTTTCACCATTGGGTATATACCCAAAGGAAAGGAGATTGGTATGTCTAAAAATATCTGTAACCCCATGTTTATTACAATGTTATTCTTAATGGTCAAGATTTAATATCAACTCAAATGTCTATCAACAGAAGACTGAATTTAAAAATGTGATGCATATACACGATGGAATACTATGCAGCCATAAAAGAACAAAATTCTGTCATTTGCCTCAACAAATGGAGGAGTCTGAAGGATGTTAAGTGAAATATGCCAGGTACAGAAAGGTAAGTACTGCATGTTCTCATTCATATGTGGAATCTAAAATTGTTTATCTCATAGAATTAGATAATTAATTAGTGACTCTTAGAGGCTGGGAAGGCTAGGGAGGAAGGAGGATAAGGAAAGGTTGGTTAACACACAAAATTACAGCTAGGTAGGAGAAAAAAGTTCTAGTGTTCTATAGCACTGTGGGGTGGCTATAGTTAATAAGGATTTATTGTACATATTCAAAGAGCTAGAAGAAATGATATTTGAATGTTCCCAACACAAAGAAATGATAAATGTTTCAGATGTTGGATTTGCTAATTACTTTGATATGATCACTGCACATTGCATAAATGCATCAGAATACACTGTATCCATAAAAATGTACGATTGTTATGTTTCAACTAAAATACTAATAAAAAGAAAGGGACACATTAAGGCTCAAAAATAATAAAAATTAAAGATTAAAATCATACTATTAAAAATATATCAAGGGAATAAAGTAGTATGTTCTTTCCAGGGGCAATAGAGTAAATATTTACAAGTGGGGCTCTGTCACATATGCTGTGCAACCTTAGGCAAGTGTCTTAGATTTTTTGTGTCTCAAATACCTCATCCATAAAATGGAGATTTAAAAACTGTATCTTGTATGATTGTCAAGAGAATCAAATGATTCACTGTGTGTGAAGTGTTTTAAATAGGGTCTTCATTAAGGTGAGATATTGCTGTTATGTTTTCAAAAATAGATAAATTGTATTTGAAAATTACAAACTTTTGGGCATCAAAGTACATTATCAAAAAGTGAAAAGGAAATCTACAGAATTAGAAAAACATTTGCAAATTATATAAATACATAAAAAATCCTCAATATCATTATTTATCAGGAGAAATTTAAATAAAAACTACCAGGAGATACTATTTTATAATCCATTAGGATGGCTATTGAAAAAGAAATGGAAACTAACAAATATTGGCATGGATGTAGAGAAATTGGAGCCCTTATAAATTGCTGGTGGAAATGTAAAATTGTAGAGCTGATATGAAAAACAATTTGTTAGTCTTCAAAAGTTAAACTCAAATTACCATATGCATGAGCCATCCTACTTCCTGTTATCTACTTAAAGAACAAAAACAGTTCTTCAAATAATGCTTTCCCACAAATATCCATAGCATCATTAGTAAAATATTAACAATTGCTCAAAGGTGAAAACACCCCAATGTTCATCAACTGAGAATGGAAGAACAAAATGTAGTACATATGTATGATTAAATATTACTCAGCTGTAAAAATAAAATATTAATACATGTTACAATATGAATGAGCCTTGAAAACATTCTGTAAAGTAAAATAAATCATACATAAAAGGTCACATATTATGAGATTACATTTATGTGATCTATACAGAATTGGTAAATCCATAGAGATTGAAATAAGATTATTGGTCCCCAGGGTCAGGGGGCTGAGGGAATGAGGGACTACTGCTTAATGAGTATGGAATCTTCTTTGTGAGTAAAAAAAACTTTTGAAATTAGATATATGTGATGGTTTCACAACTTTATGAATGTACTAAATATCAATGAATTATATACTTTTAAATAATCAATTTTATTTTATGGACATTTCATATAAATTAAAAAGGTGGAGTCAGGGAAAAATTGCATAGGCATAAAATGGAGAAAAGAACCTGACTGCGAAGGGAGAGATCAGACTGATGCAGACAAAAGTCAAGGAATGCTGGCAGCCACCTGAAGATGAAATATGCATGGAACTGATTATTTCCTAGAGATTCTGGAGACTGATACCTTGGTTTCATTCTAGTGAAACTGATTTTGGACATCTGACCTCCAAAACTGTAAGAAAATAAAATGTGTTGTTTTACTTCCCTAAGCATGTGGTAATTTGTCACAACCAAAGGGAACTAATACAAAATCTTTGTTGTGTTAAACCATTGGGTTTTCACTTAATGTGTTACTGCAGTAAAATCTAGCATCTTTTATTACCTATCTTCTTGTTTTCTACAAACAGATGATGAGTTTTTCCTATTAGTTCTCCTTATTATTCATTTACTCATTCACTAAAATCTTTTACTGAGCCCCAACTCTGTTCCAGGCATGAATCTTTGTTAGTGACCAAGTCAGAAATTGTTCCTGTATGCATCAAGCTTTTATTCTTGTTGAAAAACAAATTTAAGTAAACACACACAAATAGATAACTTTGTATTGTGATCAATATTATGAAGGAACAGATAATAGAGATAAAATTGGATAGGCCTTTTTAACATTTAATATGTAAATTTGTTCCTTCACTGAGTTGCCATTTTATTAGACACTCTTGAGTCCTTCCATGTAATCAACATCAGATCAGACTAATATCTGAGAATAATGACTGAGTAGTGCAGCTACATTTATAAAAATGAATCTATATAATTAATAAGTGTTTCAATAGTTCTATGGAGAAGGGTGACAAATTAGGTGATGAAATGACATAAGAATAAGAAAAGGAATAGAGAGAAGTAATTACTAACATATTTTGAACAGCTATTCTGTTTCAGGCACTGTGCTGTGTTCTCACTCATTCAGTACCCATTCAAAATAATTCTATGAGTAGGTGGTATTTTCACAAGTAGAATCTCAGAACATTTAATTAACTTGACACTTGTCACAAAGCTTTGTTGAAATGGAATTCATATGCAGCTTTATTCTGTGTTTCAAATCTGTGTACTTTTATTTGTGCTTGTCATTTTAGTCATGACTTGGAGAATGGATAAGGATTTAAAAATAAACAATTGTGGAATTAAATTGTGATGGAGAAATTTGACACTTTTTCCGTTATATGCTGTCCAGCCCCATTACCTACAAACAGTATCCAGATTGTATTATGAAAGTCTGTCTGTATTAGTTAGGATAAATAACGCTAGCTGCCATACAAGTAAACTCGGAAATTACAGTGGCATGATCATAGAAGATTTTCTTGCCCACAGGTTATTCAATTAATTGTTCTATAGGAATTCACACAGAGATTCAATGACCCAGGTCTTTTCACTAAGTGATTCCATTATCCCCCGTAGTCTGAATTTTGTCTCTCCAGATGGTGACAAAGAGAGCATACAGAGGACTACATGAAGAGTATCATGGGCCAGAGTTGAAATGGCATATATGACTTCACAAATTGGATTGTCAAAAATACAATCACATAGCCACAAAGTACTGCATAAAGGCTGAGAAACAGCCTAGGTATGAGTACAGTAAAAATAAAATAGTTTGGAAAACAACTACCAGTCTTTTCCATTGTAATACTTATGATCATCCAATATCCACTTTATACTTCTTCCCACAGAAAGAACATATTATCTACCTCCCCCAAAGAGACCACCTAAATCCCAACTAGTCACCATACAAGCTCAACCTCAGGTTAAATGGTCTTCTCCACATAATCAGGATGTGGCTCCTTGTGGTTCAGCAATTTATGAACCAAAAAGAAAATTTAGCTCCTTCTACATTCACATCCAATACATAAAGTCATACCAGAGTAAAGATAATTAGCAAACACATACACAGACACACACACACACACACACACACACACACACACAGAAAAAAGTCATCCCCATGTATACAAGACAGTAATGGGAGGCACACTGGTTGGTTTTAAAATCTTACAGAATTGGCATTATGAAAGTCCCTCACCCAAGTAATGATATATATTTTTTTATGAGACCCTGATTTTTTTCTCTGGGGAAAACTCCATTTTCCATTGTTTTCCTTGGCTGCTGGTGTAATCTCTTCAGCATTTCTCTTCTTATCCATTATTCTTCATTACCATTTCTGAAGTGTGTTGAACACAAAATCCTGTCTAGCACAAAATAAAGGCAATTTATTAATAAACTTGCAGCAAGGAAACCATCTTCTATTATTTTTACTTCAGCAGGATTGCAAGTGTGTTAGAAGGGACAGTAAGCTCATTGAGTAAAATGGAATAAATACTGAACCAGTGAATCATTGGCAACCATCTTATTAAGATAAGACTTTTGGAAGGGGTAGAAACAATAATTGGTCTTCAGGTACATTTGTCAGTCCTTAGTTGGCTACAAGGTGAAAAGCAAATGGTTTGGAGAATTTCTTTTTTTTAATTTTTTATTAATTTTAATTTTTTATTTTATTTTATTATTATTATACTTTAAGTTTTAGGGTACGTGTGCACAATGTGCAGGTTTGTTACATATGTATACATGTGCCATGTTGGTGTGCTGCACCCATTAACTCGTCATTTAGCATTACGTATATCTCCTAATGCTCTCCCTCCCCCTTCCCCCAACCCCACAACAGGCCCCAGAGTGTGATGTTCCCCTTCCTGTGTCCATGTGTTCTCATTGTTCAATTCCCACCTATGAGTGAGAGCATGTAGTGTTTGGTTTTTTGTCCTTGCGATAGTTTACTGAGAATGATGATTTCCAATTTCATCCATGTCCCTACAAAGGACATGATCTCATCATTTTTTATGGCTGCATAGTATTCCATGGTGTATATGTGCCACATTTTCTTAATCCAGTCTATCATTGTTGGACATGTGGGTTGGTTCCAAGTCTTTGCTATTGTGAATAGTGCCGCAATAAACATACGTGTACATGTGTCTTTATAGCAGCATGATTTATAGTCCTTTGGGTATATACCCAGTAATGGGATGGCTGGGTCAAATGGTATTTCAAGTTCTAGATCCCTGAGGAATCGCCACACTGACTTCCACAATGGTTGAGCAAGTTTACAGTCCCACCAACAGTGTAAAAGTGTTCCTACTTCTCCACATCCTCTCCAGCACCTGTTGTTTCCTGACTTTTTAATGATTGCCATTCTAACTGGTGTGAGATGGTATCTCATTGTGGTTTTGATTTGCATTTCTCTGATGGCCAGTGATGGTGAGCATTTTTTCATGTGTTTTTTGGCTGCATAAATGTCTTCTTTTGAGAAGTGTCTGTTCATATCCTTCACCCACTTTTTGATGGGGTTGTTTGTTTTTTTCTTGTAAATTTGTTTAAAATTTTTTTTTTAAAATTTTACTTTAAGTTTTGGGATACATGTGCAGAACACACAGGTTTGTTACAGAGGTATATGTGTGCCATACAAGAATTTTAAATTCAAGCCTCATAGCTTTGTTACAGTAAAATAACTAGATTAGGTGACCACTCATAGGGAATTTCCATTCAAGTCGAAGATATGATAAACAGGTGAACAAATAATACCGGAGTTTAATGTTGATAATGATTTTGAAGAATGAAGTAGGCTGAGGAAAGAAGGTCCATGGGAGGGGAGAGGCTATATTATGAAGTAGTTCAGGAAAGGCATGATCTGCCTGGGTGGGTTAACATTTAAGCAACAATATTAAATGAGTATGGAAATTTTCTGAGCAGAGGAAACAGCAAATAAAGAGCTCCTAAGACAAGAGCATGCCTAGAGATGTGGGCCCAACCAAAGCAACGATGGTGGCACAACAATTTCAAAACATTTACTGCCAAAAAAGAGAATAGCATTATTATTAATATCAATGCTTTTTTAAAAAACAAAATGTGAAGTTGGTAGTCATATGGGTAAGGTAAAAGATGACAATATTTTCTCTGCTTTTATTCTAATTTGACTATCTTTTCAAGGTTGTCATGTGAATATGCTTTCTCTCACCAAATCACTACATAATGACTGAAACATTAATATTAAGATACTGTAATTATTTATATTTAGATAAAATGTGCCAATAAAAAACTATACTCTATTAAAACCAGTATCATATTTCTCTCTATTTCGCATGCTTAGAGCTATTTCTCAACTAAAGAAATTAATAATATAATAATATAATATAATACAGAAAGCTATTGCATAAGGTGGATCTAAGAGGGATAGAATGACTTTTTATGGATTTTACATTATTAAAAGACTAAACCCAGAAAATATTTTGTTTCCTCAACAAACAGTCTTGAATGCACTCTTGACCTCGTTGTTTCTCAGGCTATAAACCACAGGGATTAGCATGGGGATAACCATAATATGAAACACAGATACAATTTTTTCTGTGTTCATGAAATGATAGAACTTGGCTGCACATATGTGATGAGGACAGTCTCATAAAATAAAGGAACTGCAGTGAGGTGAGAACCATAGGTAGATAAAACCTTCTTGTATACTTAAAGAGAGCATCTTTAAAATGGTGACAAATACAAATACAAACAAGCAGGAAATCAAGATAACTAGGAGGGTAAAAAATATAGCTTGAAGTAGGAACAAGGATCAACTCATTAATATGTTTATTAGAGCAAGTCAGAGTCATGACTGCCAGAATATCACAGAAAAAGTGATGGATCTCATTGGACATAAAATGTCTCCAATGTCAACAGCAGCAGTCAGTAAACCTAAGACATGCATGTATGGCCAGAGAAGCACACACATTTGTTGTCATGGTGGTGGTGTAATGTAGGGGTTTACACATTACTCTGTAGCAATCATAGGCCACTGAAGTCAAGAAGTAACTTTCCACAGTAGCAAAGACTGCAAAAAAGAACATCTGAGCAGCACATACATTGTAGGAGATGACCTTGTGAGCTATCAGCAACCCAGCCATCATCTTTGGAGTGACAGTTTCTGAGTAGCAAAAGTCCACCAGAGACAGGTTACTGAGGAAAAAGTACATGGAAGTGTGGAGACGAGAGTCCAGCAGGATCAGCAGCATCATCCCCAGGTTCCCACTCAGAGTGAAGAGGTAGATGAAGTTAAATAAGACAAAGAGGTGGACCTGTAGTTCTGGGGCTTTGGTTAGTCCTAGTCATATGAATTCATTTACCTCTGTATTATCATCTATAGATGTGGTTTGAGACTCATGGGATGCTCTGTAGGAAAGAGAGATGATGGAATAGAGTGATGAGCAACAAAGACTTGCACATAAATGGAAACATGTAGCCTATGTTATGATAGCAATTATTTGTTCTCCAATATTCCTCATATCTGAGACTTAGAAATGGCAGTGCAATTAGTGGCTAACTTATCTAAACAGCAATAGACTTTGGAAGAGGAAATGGTCTTCATGAATCATCTTCCCAACTTCTTAAAAGTGAGTTACAGAAGAGTTAAGGAGTTGTCCAAGGTCACATGCCTGAAATAAATCCATCTCCCAAATCAGGTCTTTTGAACCTTTAACAGCTTTACACTTCTGTAGTCTATGTGATTTATTTGTATATAGTCATTTAATCCTCCCATCAACTCCATTAGATTGAGGAGCTATTACTCTATCTGGTAATTTGGCAACAAAGATACTGAGTAATTTATTCAAGGTTACACATTTATTGATTTAAAAATTCAAACTTTATACCCAGAGTGGTTTCCAACCCAAACGCTGTTAATAGAATAGGATTGATTTTAATTTTATTTAGTTTACATTTACTTGTCTCCACTATACCAAGCTTAGTGCATGGGGTTGCATAGTAGAGCAATTCACAACTAAATGCACAGTAAATGCAATGGGATAAATACAATATTAGAGCCATGTATAACACTGACAGTCAATTCTAAGGAAAATTACACCATTGGGCATAAAAGTTTGGACTATGAAAAGAAGTGTACTTGCACTCACATTTAAGTCCTACTGTTCATCACCTGGGAGACATTGCTCCTAAATGAAGTTCTCTGAGCTTCATTTTATCCATCAATCAAATGAATGTGGTATTGGGACCTGCTCTAGGGATTATTGTAAGAACTAAATGAGATAATGCATGAAAAAGCACAAAGTGGGTATTAAGCATAATACTAACGGGTGTGAGCACTTATACAATTATTAGGATAAAATGTCACTGTTTATATTAGTTTAGGAAAGGTAGGTGGCAACATGCAGGTGGGTGGTTTTGATGTCTGGTAGCCTTACTCTATGATTTGCCTTTCCCTACACACTATGTCTAAGGTCTCTTTTCTTTCCTCCAGTATTTCTCACTCTGTTCTTCATCTCCCGCATGAGTGGCTGTGCCAGCCATTTTTAGTGAGATCCCAGGGATTTTCAAGACCTCTTTTACCTAATATCTTCCCTGTGGTCCACAATTTAGTTTGTGATGAAAGGCTCCCCTTCAATCTTGGATTCAGTCTTACTGTCATTATTATCAATACTTAGCTTAACTATATATATTGAAGGTTGAAAGTCCATGGTTGTGTGTCCAGAATTGGTAGGTTCTTGGTCTCACTGACTTCAAGAATGAAGCCGCGGACACTCGCGGTGAGTGTTATAGTTCTTAAAGGCGGCGTGTCCGGAGTTTGTTCCTTCTGATGTTCGGATGTGTTCGGAGTTTCTTCCTTCTGGTGGGGTTCGTGGTCTCGCTGGCTTCAGGAGTGAAGCTGCAGACCTTCGCGGTGAGTGTTACAGCTCATAAAGGCAGTGCGGACCCAAAGAGTGAGCAGCAGCAAGATTTATTGCAAAGAGTGAAAGAAAGCTTCCACAGTGTGGAAGGGGACCCCAGCAGGTTGCCACTGCTGGCTCGGGCAGCCTGCTTTTATTCTCTTATCTGGCCCCATCCACATCCTGCTGATTGGTCCATTTTACAGAGAGCTGAGTGGTCTGTTTTGACAGGGTGCTGATTGGTGCATTTACAATCCCTGAGCTAGACACAAAGGTTCTCCACCTCCCCACTAGATTAGCTAGATACAGAGTGTCCACACAAAGGTTCTCCAAGTCCCCACCAGAGTAGCTAGATACAGAGTGTGGATTGGTGCATTCACAAACCCTGAGCTAGACACAGGGTGCTGATTGGTGTGTTTATAAATCTTGAGCTAGATACAGAGTGCCGATTGGTGTATTTACAATCCCTTAGCTAGACATAAAGGTTCCCCACCAGACTCAGGTGCCCAGTTGGCTTCACCCAGTGGATCCCATATCTGGGCGGCAGGTGGAGCTGCCTGCCAGTCCCCGCCATGTGCCCGCACTCCTCAGCCCTTGGGTGGTGGATGGGACTGGGCACCCTGGAGCAGGCAGTGGCACTCGTGGGGGAGGTTGGGGCCACACAGGAGCCCATGGAGGGGCGGGGCAGGCTCAGGCATGGTGGGCTGCATGTCCCCAGCCCTGCCCCGTGGGGAAGCAGCTAAGGCCTGGTGAGAAATTGAGTGCAGCGCCCGTTGGCTGGCACTGCTGGTGGACCCAGCACACCCTCCACAGCTGCTGGCCCGGGTGCTAAGCCCCTCATTGCCCGGGGCTGGCAGGGCTGGCTGGACGCTCTGAGTGCGGGGCCTGCCGAGCCCACACCCATGTGGAACTCGTGCTGGCCCCCAAGGACCATGTGCAGCTCCAGTTCCCTCCTGTGCCTCTCCCTCCACACCTCCCTGCAAGCTGAGGGAGCCGGCTCTGGCCTCGACCAGCCCAGGAAGGGGCTCCCACAGTGCAGCGGCCGGCTGAAGGGCTCCTCAAGCACGGCCAGAGTGGGCACCAAGGCCGAGGAGGTGCCGAGAGCGAGCAAGGGCTGTGAGGGCTGCCAGCACACTGTCACCTCTCAGTTGGGGCATGACACTAATCTTCAGATCAGTTCATGAGCACATTCAAGGTGTTTTAAGTATTTTTACTGTATTTGTATTTAAATCCTTGGGAAGGATCTATTCTTTGGTAACTACTTTTCTCTATCATTTTCCTACCCCCTAAATACAATAACACATTATTTTACATGTTCAGATCTTAAATTATTTGTGTTTGTCAATACCTCACCCACATAATTTTATATGTACCTATATTCTCATTGGGCCTACCTGGATAATCCAGGATAATCTCAACATTTGAAAATCCTTAATTTAATCACATGTGTGCAGTCTCTTTTACCATATAAGGCAACATATTCATAGGTTCCAGGGATTATGATGCAGATTCTTTGTTGGCCATTATTTAGGCTGCCACAGTAGATATAAAAACAATATATAGTAGGTGAATTATCCATAGAGTTAGAGATTGTTGACTGAGCCATCTGCTCAGATCACATGACCAATTTTCTAACTGTATATCTGTCACAGAGGTGCAGGAAGAGGTATTAACATCGAAGTTCACATACCTGGAATGTATCCATCTCCCAAAACAGATCAACCAAGATTAGTAGCAGGTTAAATATACTGCTTATGTGTAGTTTTTCTCATAGATAGAGAGATAATTATATACTAAGAAGATAGATATAGGTAACTGAGGGGGAGGGCGGTAGTGTATGCACACATACAGACATATACTTATATAACCTCATTTGCACTTAAGGAAATGGAGGATTCAAAGGTTAGATGTCCTCCTAAAATTCCACACCTAGTACAAAATATTCATGCTACAAACCCACATTTAACTGATTCCACTGACTGTTTCTTTAATCGCTGCATGCTAGATGTTCTAGATGAACAAATAAGGAAAGTATGAGATTGTGGACATATAAGTGAAAATGAGTAAGAATCTTGGTAGTTTCATGGTGATTCTTCTGAAATGTAAATATTTGTCATTTCACTCTGTTTGGGTGAGCTATCCTTTCCATGACAGGCTAACACATATAAACAGGATGAATTTACCACCTATTCAAAGAAACCATCATCTATCTTAAGTTTTTGCTTATCTTGTTAAGAAAAGTAGCATGTCATTTCATAAATATCACTGTACTATCTCCTGAATAAAATGTTTTTTTGCATTTGAATCCTAGACCCCATGTCAAAGTTTAAGAAAAATTTTTTAGCCAGATCTGGGCTCAAAAACTCACAGAAGATGTAGCTGCACACTGCTTCTACATGAATTCTATTTATTGAGGTAGCTCCTTCTTTTCTGCAGGGGATATTTTCCAATACCCCCAGTGGATGACTGAAACTGTGGATAGTACGAAATCCAATTATCATCAGTATAAACATGTTTCTGTTCATGTCTTACACCCCAAAATTTAATGCCTTTTTTTAAATCTTAACTAGCACTTACAACACGCTATGGCTGTAACTTTTGTAGTGTGAGGTGTGGCAACAAAACTAGCATGAATTCATTTTTCCTTCTTCACAGTTTCACAGATAGAAGATTCATTTTTACTGTAGATCTGAGAAACTTCAGCATACAATTTGTTATTTTTCCTTGTTAAGTCAAGAACTTTCACCTTTTTAAGTAAAGGAAGCACTTTATGACTTTGCTTTGGCAAATCTAAATTGCCAGCATCACTATTTTTGCACTTTGTGGCCATTTTTTTAAGTAAAATAAAAATTACTCCAACACAAGCCCTGTGATACTCTGACAGTCGATCTGATAACCAAGAGAGTGACTAAACTACATGCAGGTAGCATATCTGGATAGGTTGGACACAGGGATGATTCAATTTCCAGAAGGAAATTTAATATGTTTGCATTGCAGCTGACCTCAGGTAACCAAACTTCAGAAAGTGAAACACTGGGTGAGGGGGAACTACTGCCTATTGATTATAAAAACTTATCTTGCTTCTTGAAAAGAAGGAAAAGGCATTCCTGAATTGTGAGTCTGCAATCAGAAATTTATCCCTGGAAGAACACATAAATAATATTGGAGAAACTTCTCTCATTTACTGGTTAAAAGATTCCAAGATTCCTGAGGCACAAAGAAAATAGAGACAAGATCCTTAACATGTAACTAGAAAGCCTGGCTTTAAGTCTTATATGTACTGTGGATTTATCTGTGTACACAAAAGAATTATTTATCTTCTATTCAGCTCGGTTTCCTTATTTGTGGAATAAAAATAATAAAATTAAAAATTCCACATACTTTACAGAATTGTGTCTGCCAAATAGCAAATAAAGGTGAGTTTGGAAAGTACTTTAGTAAGGTGTTTTCCTTTCAACATTAAGCAACATAATATTTTTCTTGGGGTGTTTTTCCTGCCTGTGGTTGCAGACCCACTGTAAATGCTCAGTTTGGAGAGAGGCTGCTGTGTAATAAAAGAATTAGCTTAGCGTCATTTCAATAAATGTTGACTGGAGGCTCTGCTCAGAGTTTTGTCTCTTTAAAATAATGTCATGTGGGTTCACAATGGAATTTCAGAGCCTAATGAAGGGGAATCAAGAGAAAATTATATGCGCATGGAGCTCTCTGGGGAATAGGGTTCCTATGAGGGCAATCGCTTCTCCTCATCCTCCTTATCAAGGAACAAGCAATTAAACTGCATGCAGGGACATAGTGAAGTATGTTGTTTAGCACATATGTATATTTGGAGTGTCTACTGTCATTTCTTTTTCCCCCTCATTTTTATTAAGGTCTCATTTATAAAAAATCAAGAGTGGCTTGTTTAATTATTTGTTATGATTATTGATATTTGAAATCTATTTCTGAAATTTTATTTTATATTCTGCCTACCATGTTTTTATTTTGTTTTTCACCTTTCCAATTTTTAGGTGTTACAACTAAATATCGGGCTACTAGAAATTTTAGGAGATTGATAAATAATATCTTTTTTCCTTCCTTTTTATGATGAATAGAAAAATATAACATAGTTGTATAAGGCAGAAGATTAAAATCTGCCTTAATCCTGGTAAGCCATTTCAAAATTTTTTCAGATCTTTAAGCAGAGGGCTTCTTTTATTCTTGGAATTACTTTCCTGCAGCAAACACTGTTAGTACTTTACCCACTCTCCCCTGGTATTCATTGCCCCTGTGATGGCCAAAGCATATTATTAAAAATTATTAATAGTCTGTAATTCTTGAGCTGAGGGCTTATTTTGCAGTACAAATATGATCAGCTCACATGTGAGTCATTTCATTCCTCTGGCAGCTGTCATCAGTAAATGTCAGAGGAAGTAGAGCCAAAAATTCTCCAGATTCCTTACTTTCCAGATGTTATCTGAGGATTCTTTGTACATAGTTCTTAGTACAATGGAACTTCAGATGTCCACAGATGTTACCTATGCACAAGGGAAACCCTGTATTGACTTTTCCTTCTTCTCTCTTTCCTGCTACCTTACCAGTGCTTTCTGCTATTAACCCCCAAATAAACTACTTGGATTTAAACCACTGACTCTGGGTCAGCTTTTAGGGAATCTTATTTAATATGTATCCCGATTGTACATCTCCCCTTTGTGCTTTTGTACCGGCAGGCCCTATCTCATTATCCCTATCAAAACGCAGGACAGAAGAACAGACAGCAATCTTGCTGCAGATAAGCAGGACCAAAAACAGAAAAGCAGAGTTCTAAAACATGTTCTATTTTTTCTTCTAAATTCCCCAATGTAATATATAGCATCTCTTTCCTCTTATTGAAACATTTTCACTGTAATTCTGCACCTGTGAATTGTAAACTTTATTTTTTTGTAAATTTGATAATGTCTTGATTTGCCTTCTTATTCAAATGGTAGTTCATCTGGGTATAGAAATCCGAATTGATATTTATTTTCCTTGAGACTTGAAGAAATCAGTCTACTGTCTGCTGACTTCTACTCTTTTTTCATATAAGAAGACTAATTTCAGGCTAATTATTATTTGTATGTTTGTCTCTCTGACATCTAAAGTTTCTGCTTCTTGTATTTGCACTTTCACAAAAATGTGAATAAATTAATGTATTCATTTATTCTACATGCATTTTTTTCTACCACATG
This sequence comes from Homo sapiens, assembly GCF_000001405.40. Lineage (NCBI taxonomy): Eukaryota > Metazoa > Chordata > Mammalia > Primates > Hominidae > Homo > Homo sapiens. The sequence continues at coordinate 58,395,194 of NC_000011.10, forward strand.
TCAATGCAAATATGCATAAAACCAGAGCAAAAACAGGCTCCCAGGAGGAGTGCTCAGGTGCCCCCCAGTGATGGAGGATAGAGCAGAGTGATCCACAGGGCCTCAGACCAACAGCTCCAGAGCTCAGAGGGGTGAAGCTGGGCTGTATGGCCCTTTTCTCGGGGCCTTGGTCGTGCATGTGGTGCTGGCTGTGGTACGCAGGGACAGGGTGATCCTCAGGCCCCCAGTGGAATGCTTGGGTGTGTGTGGCAATGGTTGCTCAGTGGTCTTGCTGGGTTCTTTTCAGTTCAGTTGGGCAGCATGTGCTTTAGCCCCAGGTGGCGACCGTGGGTCACTATGCACAGAGGCCCTGCTATTGAGGTGACCAGGGTGCAGGATCACTGCCAATGGCTTGTGATTTGGCCCTGGTGGCAGCAGCCAGCAGTGGGACAGTGGTTTTTAATAATGAAAGAAGGAAAACCCAAAGGCTACATATCGTCATTCCATTCATACAACATAGAAATGTAAAAACATCAGTGATTTCCAAGGGTTGGGGGAGTTGGAAGTGGTTGTCTATAAAAAGCATGCAAAGGGAAATTTTAGGATGAATCATATTTTCTATGGTGCTCTGCTGGTGAACATATGCCTGCATTTGTCCAAACTCATAGAACTACACGTAGCAAAGACTGAATGTATCACATACAAATTAAAAATGATCAACCAAGAGTACAGGGGAATTCCAGAATTAAACAGACTGTGAAAAAAATCTAATTTTATTATAAATGTATGACTTTACTTCACTGAAAGGAGATGGGGGTGGGGGGGAAAGCCAAGCTAAGTAATGTGGAAAAACAATGTGCTAACCAGAAGCCCTAAAGCTAAAAATAAATCATACAAAAATACCGTACTTTAATTGCTAAAGTTGTTTCTCATGGAGGTATGGATTAACAATTATAGAACTGGTTTACTCCTATGCTGGAGGTGGAATAAACTGAATTAAAGTCAGAGACATAGGGGAGGAAAAGTTTCCTCAACCCTCCTAGGGTTCCTGGCTAGGTCTGACATAAAACTGACAAAGACAGACTAACAGGGGAAAAGCATAACAGATTAATTTAATCAAAATTCTATGTGACATGGAGCCTTCAGGAATGAAGACTCAAAGAACCAGAGAAAATTGTTTGTTTTTCCAGAAAATTGTTTGTTTTTTTGTTTTCTCATGGAAGCGTGACAGCATGTAGAAATGTGACTGGACAAGGTATATGACCTAATGGTAATAGTGAGAAAACCCAGCAAGGCCTGTCTCTTCAGATTCTTCTTGGCCTCTCTGTTGTAGCATTTCTTCCTTCCATGTATCAGGCAGGACCTCTCTGGAATGAGAGTCAATTATTTTTGTAACTTTTATTGTAGGCTTGGGGGTACATGGGCAAGTTTGTTATATAGGTAAACTTGTGTCATGGGGGTTTGTTGTACAGATTATTTCATCACCTATATGCTAAGGCTAGTTCCCAATAGTTACTTTTTTCTGATCCTCTCCCTCCTTCCATCCTCCACCCTTAAGTAGGCCCCAGTGTCTTTTGTTCCCTTCTTTGTGTCCATGAGTTCCTATCATTTAGCTCCCACCTATTAAGTGAGAACATGCGGTTTTCGCATTCCTTATTCCATAAATGGTGCTGGGTAACAGGTTAGCAATACACAGAAGATTGAAACTGGACCTCTTCCTTGCACCATATACAAACATCTACTGAAGTTGGATTAAATACTTAAATGTAAAATCCTAAACTATAAAAACCCTAGAAGACAACCTAGGCAACAGCATTCCGAACATAGGAACTGGCAAAGATTTCATGACAAAGACACCGAAAGCAATGGCAACAAAAGCAAAAATTGACAAATGGGATCAATTAAACCAAGAGTTTCTGCACAGCAGAAGAAACTATCAACAGAATAAACTATCTACAGAATGAGAGAAAATATTTGCAAACTATGCCTCTGAGAAAGGTCTACTATCCCGCTTCTATAAGGAACTTGAACAAATTTACAAGAAACAAACAACCCCATTAAAGAGTGCCCAAAGGACATGAACAAACACCTTTCAAAAGAAAACATACATGTGGCCAACAAGCATATGAGTCCATTTTTTTTTTAATGACAAGCTCCTAAATAGAAAGGTGGGAGAAAGAGTAATATTTATAGGTTTTAAGGCTTGCTCTGGGGAAAAGAAGTTCTAGTTTCTATGGTCCACCATGGAGAAGAGTAATTCTGGTTTCTGACCTATTTTGGGGAAGAAAGAGGGGAAAGAGACAGGAGGACAGGGGAAGATCAGAAAGACTGGTTCTGAGGCTGCTTCTGAGGCCTTCCAATGTCCTTTAGTTCAAAGTGCTCGTCATGACAAAGTGTCATACTTTGGGGTGTCATTTTCTAAGCCCCAACAGAGACATCAGTATGAACTCATATTTAGTTTAATATAATGAATAAATTTAGAAATAAATATAGTTTGCTGTGACTACAGGGTACAGAAATATATACTTAGTTCTTTTGATAAAAGAGCCTGGAAGAAGTGAAACAGCAGAAACAGCAAGCGCACCCTGTGTCCAGATGTTGGCTTGTAAACACCATTCTCTATCAAAATAAAGAAGCCTCTTTGTAGAAGCAGTTGACTCTGTGACAGTGGTAGGAAAAATACAAGATGAGCTTAGAGCATCATGTAATGCCCTAATGATTATAAATAAATAAATGAGAAAGGAGACAAATCTTGCTTACAGAAAAACTCCAAATAAGTTGTTTAAACACTGATCTCAACAGGAGGTGCAGCTTAGTTCCCACACACCAACAGTGTGAGCTGGAATTAATGATTTGTTTCTAAAGAATAGAGCAGAGAAAGGGGGAACAAAAGTAACTGTATGAGAGATAATTAAGCAAACTTTACCTAGGATCTGTGATCATGTTAAACTCATCACTGATAAGTCATGTTGATAGCATGTGTCCATGATATGATGTGCTAGAAGAGAAATTTTATCACTGATATGACTTGAAAAACAGTACAGCCCCAGTAAAATAATGCGAAAACCTCAGAAAAACATAATTTCCATTTCAGACATTCTATGGAATGTCTCAACAGCACTCCCTCAAAACACAGGGAAAGATGGACAATCTGTCATAACTAGAAGAGATTAAGGAAACCTGACAACTAAATGCAAGAAGAGGAAAATAGTGGATAAATGAGTGAGATCGGAATAAGGTCTGAAGTTTAGAAAGTAATAGTGTGTCAATCTTTTTTTGTTGTTGTTTTGACAAATGTACCATCATATTGTAAGATTATGACATAGGATAAATCAGGCAAGTGTTTGTGTTAGATTTGTAAAGCTGCTGTTATAAAACATCACATACCAGGAAGCTTAAAACAACAGGTGTTTATTCTTTCACAGTTTGGAAGCCAGAAGTCCCAAATCAGTGGCACTGGACTGAAATTAACACATTAGCAAGGCCTGCTTCCTTCCTAAACTATAAGTGAGAATTTTATTTCTTGCCTCTTCCATTTTATGGTGGCTGCAGGTATTCCAAGCCTTGGGGATCACATCACTTTAGTTTCTGCTTTCATGGTCACCTTGCTGACTCCTCTTTTGTCTGTCATCACATCTCTCTGTCTTCTTCTGATAGTGACATATGTGGGCCTTTAGGGCTCACACAGATAATCCACAATACTATCTCCGTCTTAATCACCTCTACGTAGTCCTTTTAGGCAATATAAGGTAAGATCGAAAGGTTCCAGGAATCAAGATGCATAAAGAATGTGCATTATAATAGCCTATTGAATTTATGCTATGTTTGCTACTGACAGACATTGTCATGTTTATATTCTACATGGACGTTTAGAATCATTTCAATTAATTCTATAATTTATGTGTATGAAGTAATTTTCAAATATAATTAGATATTAAACCTTAAATAATTTCACATTTAACGTATTTTTATGATTTATTAAAGTAGTATTTATTTGATATATTATTGTCTACTTAATGAGACATCACATCTAAGTAAAAATTATGAGATGGCTTCAAATGAGCTACTTGATGATAGAATTTTCAGGAAACGATTGTCTAAAAGTTGGAGAAAAAGTGCTTAGAATATACGTAAAAATGTTTCAGCAAAGAAATTACCTGTGTCTTTTGAAATGAACTATATGTCTGTCTAGAAGGCTTATATTATAGATGGTTTACTATCATCATGAATGGTTCAAAGTTTCAACATATTGATACAATTAGACTCAAAGCTTAATTATTTTATCCATTCATTTAACAAATACTTATTGAAAATCTCCTATAAAACACACTCATTTAGGTACTAAAGATTTTATTTTATTTTATTTTTTATTTATTTATTTTTTTTTTTAATTGAAATTGAATTTATTGGAAGCAGATACAGTTCTCTGGGGAGAAAAATAATCTTAAAAATGACAAATATTTGAACTAGCAAAATGCATCTTATAGCAATACCTTAAAAACTATAATATTAAAAACTGTTTGGCAGAGAACTAATTATTTTTCAGTCATACATGTAAATTAAAGTCCCACTTGGTTTTGCCTAAGGTAAGTCACGCTTAACTGAGTACTGGCTGTTTGGCTTTGTGCTCATGTGGCCCCAGGCCCTGAAGGGCTTTGCATATTATTGGGGCTCTGTAGGTGAATCAGTTATGGCCTTTGTCTCAAGTCCAAGTGGGAATCACCAGAATGTCTTAACTTTTGGCACAAAAGAGGCTTCAGTTTATACAGACTATCAGTTTGTACCCCGACTATTCACAGGATCCAGCAAGAATAGGATAGAGAAAGGTGCCTTATATGTGGCTGAAGACTTATTTTTCTGTATTCCTTGACCTTCCTTTTTCCCCCTTTCTGTAAGCAGGGGAAAAACATTTGCTGTAGCACCAGACATACAACTCAGTCCCCTTTCATCCTGCTATGTAGGTATAGGTACATCTTTCTCATTAACTCTCCTACTTCCCTTGTCATACAAAGAGATGTTTTTCTTCCTGGGAAGTAGCAGGGTAGTTTTTTGGGATATTTTAGCTCTGAGATGAACAGCTTCTTTCTGAGATCTTGTCAAAGATAATCTCCAGGGAAGCACGCAGTTTTGTACACCACTATTGTTATTTCTCTTCTCCCAGGGTTTTGTTTACAAAGGAATTTTGTGTAATTATGATTTCCCATAGACTTTTCTGATAGTTTATGATACATGGAGACATAAGCAATTGAATGGGGGTGGGGAGGGATTCAATTAAAAACTAAAAGGACAGTCCAAGAATAATGCTGAGGGCCATGGGCAAAAAAGATTTGGCTCTAGAATTCACTAAGTTTCAAAGGTAAAAGAAGCATGAGAACGTGCCACTATTCATCACCTTCACTTTAACCCAGCATCTCTTATTAAACCATAACATAGCCTCAAGATTTCTTGAAAGCTCACTTCTTTTTCTGATACAATGCACTGTCAGCGACCATAAACTATCAGAAAGGTACTAAAGATTTTATAAACAACAAAAAATTAACTGCTTTAATGAAGTTTGCATTCTGGTTGGATAGAAGGATATAAAGTAAACAAGTGAATAAATATACAGGAGAGTGTGAATAAAAACGAGGAAGAATAACACGAGATGAGGGGTAGTGTACATGGGGTGGGGAGAGGGATTATTTTATAAAGGTGGTGAAGGAAGGACTCTATGACTGGGTCACATTTAAGGAAAGACCTGAATGGAGTGAGGAAATATTATGCACAGAGAACAGCAAGTGCACAGGCCCTGAGGTTGGAGCATGCTTGGAATTGTGAAAAACAGCAAGGAGAGCAGCCTGGACAAAATGGAGTAAAACACAGGTGAAGCTGCAAAAGGTGGTGTATGTCAACTAAAATAAGAATGAAGGAGCAGAATTAACCATTTCAAAGCATTTGCAGAAAGAAAAATGTACACTTTTTGTTTCTTAGTACATTTTTTAAACAATGTAAAAGTTGGTAGTAATATACAAAGAAATGCTTTTATTTTTACTCAGTTTTTCTGGTACTCTAGTTATTTTATCCTTTTAAAATTTAAAACATGAACATGTTGCTTCTATAAATCAGTAATGACACAAATAAAAAAATTCATATGAGATGCTATATTTACATATTCTTGATAAAATGTGCTAAGGAAAAGCATATACTTTCATTTAATAATATGTTTTTTTAAATAAAATGAGGACTCCTAAAACAGTATTCAGCTAAATAAATTTAAAAGCATTAGGCTTAACTTTATATTCCACTACCCAAATTAAGTATTTAAATTATTTTTATCAAATATTAGTGTATTAGCGTTCTACAGAGAAACAGAACAGAGAGATGGATAGATGATAGATAGATAGATAGATAGATAGATAGATAGATAGATAGATAGATAGATGATACATAGATAAAAGGAGATTTGTTATGCGAACTGGCTCATGTGAATATGGAGGCTGAGAAGTCTCACAATATACTATCTGCAAACTGGAGAACCAGGAAAGCCAGTAGAGTAATTTGGAGTTTGAAGGACTGAGAAAGGTCAGGACAGCGTTGTGGAACTGGTATAAGGCCTGGAGGCCAAAGACCCGAGAAACCAGGAACTCAAATGTCTAAGAACAAGAGAAGATGAATGACCCAGCTCAAGAAGAGAGAGAATTCATCCTTCCTCCACCTTTTTGTTCTTTTCAGGTGAGCCCTCAGTAGATTGAATGATGGCCACCCATACTGGTGATGGCAGATCTTCCTCAGTCTCCTGATTCAAATATTAATCTCTTCTGGAAACATCTTCACAGACATATTCAGAATAATGTCTAAGCAGCTATCTGGGCATCCCTTAATCCAGCGAAACTGACACATAAAATTAACCATCAGAACTTGCCACATTACATTGAATCCAGGCACACTTTCCACACCTATGGAAAATTCCCCACTTCATGGGAAACCTTCATGTACTTCTATTAATGGACTTGTTTTTGCTCTGGTTTTATGCATATTTGCATTGACATGTGGTAGAAAAAAAATGGATGTAGAATAAATGAATACATTAATATCTTTAAGGTTTTTGGCAAGGAAGTCCCAAGATGTCTTAGCCATTCTTGTTCAGATGTTATGTTTCTGGACATAATGTTTCCTTTTATTTAGACAATAGACTTTTAAACAGGCATGGCAATCACTTCAGGAATTTAACTTTATTGTGGACCTTAAATGTGATTCAGAACATGGAGAAGATCCGAGAGAAATAAAACTAGGTTATGGTGCATCCCACAATGTTAAACTGACCATCCTACAGACAATTTTGCCTTCTCAACAACTTTCTTGAATGCACTCTTCACTTCCTTGTTCCTCAGACTATAGACCAGAGGGTTCAGCATGGGGATGACCATTGTATAGAACACAGGTGCCATTTTGTCTGTGTCCATGGAGTGACTGGAGCTGGGTTGTAAGTACATGAAGATAATAGTCCCATAGAAGATGCCGACTGCAATGAAATGAGAGGCACAGGTGGACAAAGGCTTCTGGTATACTGAAGCTGAGTGCATCTTTAGGATGGTGATAAAAATGAATGTGTAGGATATCAAGATAACCAGGAGAGCTATAAAGATATTGAAGCTCACAACATAAATAAGAACAAGCTCGCTAATATGTCTATCAGAGCAAGAGAGAACCATGACTGCTGGAATATCACAGAAAAAGTGATGGACTTCATTGGACTTACAGAAAGAGAGACTAAATGTGTCCCCAGTGTGGATGGAGGCATTCAGGAAACCACAGAGGTAGGAGCCTATGGCCAGACGAGCACACACAGTTGTTGTCATGGTTGTGGTGTAATGTAGGGGTTTGCACACTGCTGCATAGCGGTCATAGGCCATTGAGGCCAAGAGGTAATTTTCCACAGTGGCAAAAGCTACAAAGATATACATTTGAGCAGCACATGCATTGTAAGAGATGACCTTGTCTTCTATAAGGAATCCAGCCATGACGATGGGAGTGACAGCTGAAGAGTAGCAAAAGTCCACTAGAGACAAGTTACTGAGAAAAAAGTACATGGGATTGTGGAGACAGGAATCCCAGAATATCAATACAATAATTCCCAGGTTTCCAACCAGAGTGATAATATAGATGAAGGGGAACGTTATAAAGAGGGGAACCTGCAGTTCTGAGTCATTGGTTAGTCCTAGAAGAATGAATTGTGTTACTTCTGTCTTATTTTCCATCACTGCTCTGGGGGACTCACAGGATGCTTGTAGCAATACAAAAAAGAACAGTGTGATAAATAAATTGAATTAAAATTGAAAAGTATAAGTACAATATGTATTCCTTCATTGTAGCAATAACTTGTACTTCAAGATTCCCTAGAAAAAGCGCGGCCTTGACAACCAAATGCAGTGCATTAATTATACAGAGTTACATACTGTTGAAACTGAAGAATCTTAGTAGATTATCTACACAACTTTTAGATATTATAAATGTGTAAACTCATATTTATAAAATTTACTAACCTGATCAAGATGACTCATCTAGATGCATCTATCTGTCAATTTACTTTTCCTGAGCACAGTAAAAGCTGACACATGTTGCTAATTTACCAAGAACTTCTCTAGACATTTAAGATATATATTCATTATTTCCTTTCTACAATATTATGTATTTGATTAGTTGTTGCATTCATTTAAATTATGAAGCACAGGAGGTTGAGTAACATATTCATATTTATACAAGTATTAAATGGCAAGCCATGCTTTGGACCCATACCAACTTTTGAACCCATGCTGAATGGTTCCTAAATCTAATGGTCTAAACTGAATTTAAATCAAATTGAATACAACTGTATTTACAATCACTCATTGTCTCCTTTGGTACAAACTCAGTGTTTTGAGTTTCACAATGAAGTAAGCAAGTAATATATGCTTAGTAAATGGGCTGGGGTAACAGGGTTGTTTGGGGCATGTTCAACTACCAGAAACAATTCTGAGAGAAGCCTATCACCAAACAGAGCAGATACAGAGCTTGAGTTCTTGAAAGAGTTGCGTATCAGTCCACGACTTACCACCTGGGAATCACTGGTTCTAATCTAATTCCCTTAAACATCACATTTTCTTCTGTAACACTAAAACAGTAATGTGACCTACTTTGAGGTATTATTGTGAGAATTAAATAAGATAATCCATTAAAAATGCTAGATGTTAAGCACAGCCTAATGAGTGCTAGTTATAATATTAAATATTATTATTAGATAGGTGATAATCTTTTTGTTGGTTTGATAAAGGTGGATGGTGACAAGCAGGGCTGCAGGCATGGGTGAGCTTTGAAATCTTGAAGCTCCCACCTCCAATTTTCTTTTCCTCCATGCTAGGACCACTGAGATTTTCTGTGTTCTTCAGTGATTTTCAGGTTGTTCTTCCTCCAAGCAAATGATTGTCTGCTCCGGAAGATTCACATGAGCCTTTCTTTTTCTTAATTTCTCCCTTGAAATCCACATTTTAGTGTGGGTAAAAAAGTTTCTTTTTCCTAAAGCCATTCTTTCTCTTATTACTGTTATTCCATAGTTAAATCAAAGATTAAGGGTTAAAATTTCCTACTTTATGGGCTATCTTTATTTAGCTCACAGATCTGATTTGGTGGCAAGTTCCATGTGATAAAATATTTTATTTGAATCTATTCTTGTTTTGGAACAATATTTTAGTATTTATTTATTTTAATGTTTTAAAATTTCAACTTTCATTTTAGATACAAGGGTTACACGTGCAGATTTCTTACGTGGGAATATGCATGATGCTGAGGTTTGGAGTATGGATCCTGTCACCCTGGTAGTGAGCATACCATCTGATAGGTAGTTTTTAAGCCCACCCTCTCTTTCTCCATCCTCTAGTAGTCCACAGTGTCTATTGTTCCCATATTTATGTCCATGTGTTCTCATAATTTAGCTCTCACTTATTAGTGAGAACATGAGTTATTTGGTTTTCTGTTCTTGTGTTACTTTGCTTAAGATTATGGCCTCCAGATTCATCCACGTTGCTGCAAAGGACATGATTTCATTTTTTAGGGCTATGTAGTATTCCATAAATCTAGTGTACAGATTACTATTTGACCCAGTATATACTCAAAAGGTAATAAGTCATTTTACTAAAAAGACAAATACATATGGTCAACCTAAATGCCCATCAATGATAGACTGGATAAAGAAAATGTGGTACATATACACCATGGAATACTATGCAGCCATAAAAAAGAACGAGATCATCTCCTTTGCAGGGACATAGATGGATCTGGAAGCCATTATCCTCAGCAAACTAATGCAGAAACAGAAAATCAAATACTGCATGCTCTCACTTTTAAGTGGGAGCTGAACGATGAAACCACATGGACACATGGTAGAGAACAACACACACTGGGGCCTGTCAGAGGATGGTGGGTAGGAGGAGGGAGAGCATCAGGAAGAAAAGCTAATGGATGCTGGGCTTAATACCTAGGTGATGGGATGATCTGTACAGCTAATCACCATGGCACATCTTAGCTATGTAATAAACCTGCACATCCTGCACACGTAGCCCTGAACTTAAAAGTTGGACTTTTTTTTTAAAAAGACACATGTACCTGTATGATCATCAGCACGCTATTCACAACAATGAAAGCATAGAATCAGCCCTGGTGCCCGTCAGTGGTAGACTGGATAAAGAAGATGTGGTACATATACACCATGGAATACTACACAGCCATGAAAAAAAGAATGAAATCAGGAATAATACTTTAAGTCTGTGTATTTGGATTGGGGCCTGGAGAAGGGTGTCCAACCAATACTAACTACTGTTTCCTACTGTCTTTCTTTTAAACACTTGGCAACTTCACTTCCCAAGCCTGACCTATGAAGGTGTTATGTTGCTAACTTTAACATACCTGACCGCATTTAGCATACACTATGTTCTACAACCAATAATAAAAACTTTATATATAAATAATGTGTGTGTATATGCGTGTGTGCGCATGTGTGTGTGTGAGAGAGAAAGAGAGAGAGAGTTAGATAGTATTATTACTTTATCGTTAAGAACATTGACAATTTGAGAAGTGATATGATGCTCCAAAATTATATGACTAGTTTGAGAGTCAAGGTTCAAGAGTTAAATCCATCTTCAATCTAATCAAAAGTCAAAACTTTCAGCCACATCACTGTCAACATAGGTAGATGCGCTAATAGTAATGAGATTATAAAAAAAGTTAAAACACAGGTCATAGCTCGTTAATTCATTTAACACCTTTTTGTAGTTTAAAGAATGAACATTTCACTTGTTTTTGTTTGTTTTTGGTTTTTTTTTTTACCACTCATGAGAAACCAATATATAACAAACAGATAAAATTACCACCTAGTCAGTCAGAGCATCATCTATCTTATTTTTTGTTCATATCTTTGGAGGAAGAAGCACATTTCATAAGAACCACTAAATTTCCTATAATGGAACATTTATGCCCTATGCCCACCTCAGTATTTTAGAAAAAATGTTGAAAACATCTATTTCTGCTCTCAAATAGCTTATAGTAGGTATAGCTGCCCCACTGCTTTTGCATGAGTTACACTTGTCTCTAAAATGTTTCTTAGATATAGAAGCTTACCTTACAGCTGGATGAGCAGAAACAGTCAATACAGAATAGTTGTTCTGCAATCAGAAAATCAGCCATGGAACATTGCATTAATATGTTTGGAGAAGCTTGCTTTCAGATAGTGGTCAACAGGTTTCAAGGTCTCTTAGGCATGGAGAAATAAAGGGAAGAGCATTAACACGGAAAAAGTCCTGAATCTACTATTAATTCTTTCTGTGAACTTAAAGGAATTACTTATCTTCCCCTTTCTTGAGAAAATAAACATGTTAAGATTACCTCTCTCACATAATTCACAGAATTGCATCTGTAAAGAACAAGTAAGGGAGGCCTGTAAAACATCTTGCTAAGGGGCCATCATGCAAAAATCAGTCAATGTAATTTTTAACTCGGGATGTTTTCCCTGAGCAGGGTTGAAGCTTCATAGCAAAGCCTCAGGTCAGAAGGCATGCATGAACTAAAAACAATTATCCTTTAGATGAATAAATTATGATCTGCAGAGCTTTGTACACAGTGTGGTCTCTCTAAAACTACATCATGTTGGGAGTCATGTTGGGATTTTAGATGCTAATATATGGAGACATGAGGAGAATTATAAGGGCATGGAGATCTCTGGAGATGTCCCCTGTGAGAGGATCTACAGCTCCTCATTCTACTTTCCTGGTGAAGAAGCAATTAAAGCTGCCGGTGGGGATCAAGCTTATTATTTTTAATATGTGCACATAATTTGTGTGCATATTAAATTTATTTTTTTCATTCTCTAATTAATGCATAATTTACATACAGTAATACCCAGTATTAATACACACTTTACTGTACAGTTCTAAGAATTTTGTCAAATACATGGTCACATAATGACTGCAACAATTACATAAAAAAAATTTTCTAAGCCGACTTTTTGGTAACCTCTTTTCCCACCCGCTACCCTGGCAACAAGTAAATTGTTTTTGTCCAAATAATTTTGCTTTTGCTAGAATGTCTTTAAATATAATCCTAGAATATGTAGTCTTTGAGTCTGGCATCTTTCACTTTCACTTAGCAATTGAGACCCATATATATTGTTGCCTATGTCAGAGTTAAATCTTTTTTATTGTAGAAGAATATTGCATTATGTGGACATTACAGATTGTTTTTCTCATTGTGCAACTGAGGAACATTTGTATTGGTTTTAGTGTTTGGTGAGTAGAAATAAAGCTGATCTAAACATTTCATTAAAGATTTCTGGGTGAGGCACTGTGGCTCATGCCTGTAATCCTAGCACTTTGGGATGCCGAGCGGGGTGGATCACTTGAGGTAAGTAGTTGAAGACCAGCCTGGTCAACATGGTGAAGCTCATTCTCTACTGAAAATACAAAAATTAGCCAGGGATGGTGGCGGGCACCTGTAATCCCAGCTACTCAGGAGGCTGGGGCAGGAGAATTGCTTGAACCCGGGAGGCAGAGGCGGAGGCAGAGGCGGAGGCTGCAATGAGCCAAGATTGCGCCTCTGTACTCCAGCCTTGGCTACAGAGTGAGACTCTGTCTCAAAAAAAAAGTTTCTGAGGTGAACATAGATTTTCATTTCATTTGAATAAATATTTATGAGTCAGATTGAATTGTTCTATGGTAAGCACATGTTTATCTGAATAAGAAACTGTCAACATCTTTTCTGAAGATATTCTACTATTTTGAATTCCCACTAGCAGTTCGTTCAAATTGTCTCACCTCTGTATCAGCATTTTATATTTAAAAATTTTTTAATTTAATTTTTATTTTACTTTTTTTGATTTTTCTCTAAGATATCTCCTTACCGATTTTCTTAACACTTATCTACCTTATCACCACAATTCTGGCCTGGGAATGCTTTTCTTTTCCAAAAAAGGAGACAGATTCATCCTTTTGCACACAGATTCATCGCTTTGCACTGTTGCTTCTGAGCCCACACCACACTCCCAAGCAGACTTATCACATCTCTCTTAGTACAAGCCAGTGTCATGATTAAACATTTGTTCTGTACACCAAGGTTGTTGCTTCACCTCAAATTTGAGTAAGAAATGTAGCCTTTTCAAACTTCAGCTTCTCTTCTGTAAGGAAGAAGAAAATACTATCTTGTCATTCTCATAATATTTTCAAAAAGATAATCACATGACGTATTTATAGAGCACAGCACACTTTCTACCATATATCAGGTGTTTGATAGGTTAAATATTAATATTTATTATTTATAATATTTTCCATAGATGGGTCACAAAACAGTGGTACACAAAAAATCCACCTGCTTTTCTACATGTGCATGCCCCATTCCAGCTAGGTAGGACATGTAATAGTTCTAGATAATGAACTATGGAAAGAATTGTAATGTTGGTTGAAACATACACACTACTCTCCACTTATCTCATCTCCTGCTATGATAATCAAAAGGCTTAATGTTCCAGCAGGTGCAGAAACAGATGATGATACCTTCATCAGCAGGTGTCTTTGAGTGACCACATACAGCTTTTCACTTAGCCAGACAACCTGTGTGACAGACATGTCATAGCATAAGTGAGAAATAAATCTGTAGGATGCTGAATATTTATCTTCCAAAATATCAGATTCTAATACCTGGAATCAGTAAATTTTACCTTATATGACAACTGCTTTGCAGTTATGATCAAATTAAGGACAGCAAGATGGAGTTTAACCTAAATTATTCAGTGGGCTGTAAATGCAGTTACCAGTTCCTTGTAAGATGGGGGCAAGAAAAGTGATAGATTAGAATATTTTAAGGGCCTGTTACTCCACAGAAACACTAAAAAAGCAAGCAAAAACTGGCACAATCAACTTTGTTTGAACTCTGGAAAATAGTCAAGGATCTACAGAAACAAAGTGAATGATGATTCAAGAAAAAGGCGACCTCACATGACATTTTTAGGAAGTATCTGTTAAACTGCTACGTGACCACAAGTACAGAGACCTCAGAGGACACATATGACAATAAATACATTCTTTCAAATATTTTAATAAAACTCACTAAATAAACAACTGCACCCAGAGCAAGCAACAACAAATGAAACTGGGGATAGAAGGGGAGATAATTTGACTTCCAGAATTACCATATTATAATATTAAAAATGTCAAAATTTCAACCAAAAATAGGAGACATACGAAGGATCAAGAAACCATTTCCAACTTCCAAGAAAACAAAAATTAACAGAAATTGTTCTGAGGAAGCATAAACGTTATGCTTAGAAGACAAAAATATTAAATCAATTGCCTTAAATGGGCTCAAAGGGATTAAGGGGAAAAAATTGACAAGGAACTAAAGAAAACTAGGACAATGGTGTTTCAATATATAATAAATATTAATTAAAAATAAAAATTATTTTAAAAAAGGTAAAATTTCTGGAGCTGAAAAGTACAATGAGTGAAATAAAAAATTCACCAGAGGGTTTTAACAATATTTGGCAAGAGAAGGAAAAAAATCAGTGAATTTCTTTCCTTCCTCCTTCCCTCCCTCCCTCCCTCTTTTCCTTCTTTCCTTCCTTCCTTCCTTCCTTCCTTCCTTCCTTCCTTCCTTCTTTCCTTCCTTCTTTCTTTTTGAGACAAAGTCTTACTCTGTCACCCAGGCTGTAGTGCAGTGGTGTAATCATGGCTCACTACAGTCTCCACCTCTTGGCTCTAAGGGATCATCCTGCCTCAGCCTCCCAAGTAGCTGGGGCCACAGGCATGCACCAATACACCTGGATGCATTTTCTTTCTTTCTTTCTTTTTGTGTCAAGGTTCTGCCATGTTGCCGAGGCTGGTTTCGAACTCCTGAGCTCAAGTGATCCACCTGCCTCAGACTCCCAAAGTACTGGTATTATAGACATGAGCCACCATGTCTGGCCAAATAAGTGAATTTCTAGATGTGTCAATTAAAGCAATCTGGTCTCAGGAGAAGAAAGGAAAACAGAATGAAGACAGAATGGAAAGAGCTTGAGACCTCTTGCATGCCATCAAGTATACCAACATGAGCACAAGTAGAGTGCAAGAATGAGAGGTGAAATAAGGGAAAGTTCATAAGAAATATTTGAAGAACTATGGCCACTAACTTCCCAAACTTGATTAACTTCACAAATCTGCACTTACAAAAAGCTCACAAAGTTTAAGAGGGATTAACATGATGTGATCCCCATACACATTACAGTCAAACTGTTCAAAGTGAAAGAATTACAAAAGCTGCAAAATATAAGCAACTTCTCACATACACACGATTTTCACTCATATTCATAAATGATTTATCATCAGAAATCATGAGTCCAAAAGTAGCAAGATGATATATTTTAAGGTATTAAAGGAAAATTTAAACAACTGTCAACTGAGAATTCTACATCTGGCAAAACTAACCTTCAAAAATGGACAAAATACGATCTTCCTATATAGGTGAAAGTTTAGAGAGGTGTTTGGGTCATGAGAGCTCAGCTCTCATGAATGGGTTGATCCCTTCATAGACTAATAGATTAATGAATTCATGGGTTAATGTATTAATGAGTTTTCATGGGACTTGGACTTGTGGGTTTGTAAAAAGAGATCTGAGCTAGCATGCTCCGTCCTCTCACCATATGATGTCCTGTGCGGCTATGAGACTTTGCAGGGAGTCCCCACCAGCAAGAAGGCCCTCACCAGATATGGCCCCTCAACCCTGGACTGCTTATTCTCTAAAACTGTGAGAAATAAATTTCTTTTTAAAAATAAACTATCTAGTTTTAGGCATCCTGTTATAAGCAACATTAAATGAACCAAGGCAATTAATGATGTTGAGCAAATTTTCATATCCCTGTTGACCTTTTGTATGCCTTCTATGGAAAAATAGTTATTCGAGACTTTTACCTATTTTTAAATAGAATTAATTTTTACTACTGATTTGTAGGAATTCCTAATATATTTTATATTTTATTTTTTCAGATGGGGTCTCACTCTGTCACATGGCTGAAGTGCAGTGGTACAATCATGGCTCACTGCAGCCTCAGCATCCTGGCTTCAAATGATCCTTCCACCTCAGCATCCTGAGTATCTGGGACTATAGGCATGCACCACCATGCCTGGCTAATTTTTAAAACTTTTTGTAGAAATGGTGTCTCACTATATTGCTCGGGCTGGTCTCAAACTCCTGGCCTCAAGCTACCCTCCTGCTTTGGTCTCACAAATGTGAGCCACCATGCCCAGCCCTCCTTATACACTTTAAATAGTAACACTTATCAAGTGTAATGTTGGTAAATATTGTCTCCTATTCTGTAAGTTGCCTTTCTATGTTTTTGATGGTTTCTATCACTATGCAGAAACAGTTTGTTGTAGTTCCACTTATTTTAGCTTTTACTGCTTGTGCATTAGGTGTCATATTCAAGATATCATTGCCAAGGTTAATGACAAAAAGTTTATTCCCTAGTTTTTTTTCCTAGGGGTTTCAAGATTCAAGTATATGTTTAATTTTGCATCCATTTAAATTTATTTTTGTGTATGGTATAAGATAAAGATTCATTTGAGTAACATCTTTTGCAAAGATCCTACTTTTGCATGTAGATATGCAGATTTCCCAATACTATTTCTTGAAGAGACTTTCCTTTTCTCATTATGTATCCCTGGCTCCCTTGTTGAAGATCAGTTGACTGCATATTCCTAGGTTTATTCCTGAGCCCTCTATTCTGTTCCACTCTTCCATATGTCTATCTTTATAGAAATATAATACTGTTTTCTTTACTGTAGTCTTTGTAACATATTCTGAAATCAGAACTGTAATGTCTCCAGCTTTTTTCTTCTTTGTCAGGATTGTCTTGGCTATTTAGAGTCTTTGTGGTTTCATATGAATTTTTAGACTATATTTCCATTTCTGTAAAAAAGATGCCATTGGAATTTTTGTGGGGGTTGCATTGAATCTGTAGCTTGCATTTCGTAGTATGAACATTTTAACATCATTAATTCTTCCAATTCATGAATGCAGATATCTTCCAATTTATTTGAGTCTTCTTCAATTTCTTTCATCATTTCTTGTTATGTTTTAAATGTATGACTTTCACCTTATTGGTTAACTTTATTTCTAAGTATTTCATTGTTTTTCATGTTGTTGTAAATAGGATTTTTTAAACTTTTTTTTCAGGTAGATTATTGTTAGTGTATAGATATGCAACGGGATTTTGTGTGTTGATTTTGTATCCTGCAGCTTTACTAAATTCATTAGTTCTAACAGGTGTTTCTTAGTAGTTGTTAAGATCTTCTGTATATAAGATCACATCTTCCATGAATAGAGACAGTTTTACCTATTTCAGTGTCTTTTATTTCTTTCTCTTGCCTAATTGTTCTGGCTAGGACTTTCAGTACTATGGCCAATAGGAGTGATATGAGTGGGCATCCTTGTCTTCTTTCTGATCTTAAAGGAAAATCTTTCACTTTTTAAACTTTGAGTATGATACTAGCTGTGGGCTTTTTACATAGGCTTTATTATGTTAGAGTACATTTCTTCTATATCTAGCCTGTTTAGGGTTTTTATCATTGAAAGGTGGTAAATTTCATTGAATACTTTTCTGCAACAATTCAGATGATCTTGTGATTTTTTATCATTCATTCTGTTAATGTTATCTTTAATACTAATCAGTTTAAACCATGCTTGCATCCTAGACGTAAATTTCACCTGATCATGGTGTATGATTCTTTTATTGTGCTATTGTGTTAAGTTTACTAGTATTTTGTTGAGGATTTCTTACCTATAGTCATCAGAAATATTGTCTGTAGTTTCCATTCTTATGGTACCTTTTCCTTGTTTTGAATGTGAGAATAATGCTAGCCACATAAAATTAGTTTAAAAGTGTTCTCTTCTCTTCAGTTATTTGGAAGAGTGTGATAATAATTGACGTTTCCTCTTTTTAAAAATGTTTGGTAAATTTCACCAGAGAAGTTATCTGGTTCCGAATTCACGGCCG
Source organism: Homo sapiens (assembly GCF_000001405.40). Taxonomy (NCBI): domain Eukaryota; kingdom Metazoa; phylum Chordata; class Mammalia; order Primates; family Hominidae; genus Homo; species Homo sapiens. Next base: position 58,413,699 of record NC_000011.10, read on the forward strand.
AATTCTACCAGAGGTACAAGGAGAAGCTGGTACCATTCCTTCTGAAACTATTCCAATCAGTAGAAAAAGAGGGAATGCTCCATAATTCATTTTATGAGGCCAGCATCATTCTGATACCAAAGCCTGGCACAGACACAACAAAAAAAGAGAATTTTAAACCAATATCCCTGATGAACATCAATGCAAAAATCCTCAATAAAATACTGGCCAACCGAATCCAGCAGCACATCAAAAAGCTTATCCACCATGATCAAGTGGGCTTCATCTCTGGGATGCAAGGCTGGTTCAAAATATGCAAATCAATAAATGTAATCCAGCATATAAACAGAACCAAAGACAAAAACCACATGATTATCTCAATAGATGCAGAAAAAGCCTTCGACAAAATTCAACAGCCCTTCATGCTAAAAACTCTCAATAAATTAGGTCTTGATGGGACGTATCTCAAAATAATAAGAGCTATTTATGACAAACCCACAGCCAATATCATACTGAATGGGCAAAAACTGGAAGCATTCCCTTTGAAAACTGGCACAAGACAGGGATGCCCTCTCTCACCACTCCTATTCAACACAATGTTGGAAGTTCTGGCCAGGGCCATCAGGCAGGAGAAAGAAATAAAGGGTATTCAATCAGGAGAAGAGGAAGTCAAATTGTCCCTGTTGCAGATGACATGATTGTATATCTAGAAAACCCCATCGTCTCAGCCCAAAATCTCCTTAAGCTGATGAGCAACTTCAGGAAAGTCTCAGGATACAAAATCAATGTGCAAAAATCACAAGCATTCTTATATACCAATAACATATAAACAGAGAGCCAAATCATGAGTGAACTCCCATTCACAATTGCTTCAAAGAGAATAAAATACCTAGGAATCCAACTTACAAGAGATGTGAAGGACCTCTTCAAGGAGAACCACAAACCACTGCTCAATGAAATAAAAGAGGACACAAACAAATGGAAGAACATTCCATGCTCATGGATAGGAAGAATCAATATCATGAAAATGGCCATACTACCCAAGGTAATTTGTAGATTCAATGCCATCCCCATCAAGCTACCAATGACTTTCTTTACAGAACTGGAAAAAACTACTTTAAAGTTCATATGGAACCAAAAAAGAGCCCACATCTCCAAGTCAATCCTAAGCCAAAAGAACAAAGCTGGAGGCATCACGCTACCTGACTTCAAACTATGCTACAAGGCTACAGTAACCAACACAGCATGGTACTGGTACCAAAACAGAGATATAGACCAATGGAACACAACAGAGCCCTCAGAAATAATACCACACATCTACAACCATCTGACCTTTGACAAAGCTGACAAAAACAAGAAATGGGGAAAGGATTCCCTATTTAATAAATGGTGCTGGGAAAACTGGCTAGCCATATGTAGAAAGCTGAAACTGGATCCCTTCCTTACACCTTATACAAAAATTAATTCAAGATGGATTAAAGACTTACATGTTAGACCTAAAACCATAAAAACACTAGAAGAAAATCTAGGCAATACCATTCAGGACATAGGCATGGGCAAGGACTTCATGTCTAAAACACCAAAAGCAATGGCAACAAAAGCCAAAATTGACAAATGGGATCTAATTAAACTAAAGGGCTTCTGCACAGCAAAAGAAACTACCATCAGAGTGAACAGGCAACTTACAGAATGGGAGAAAATTTTTGCAATCTACTCATCTGACAAAGGGCTAATATCCAGAATCTACAATGAACTCAAACAAATTTACAAGAAAAAAACAACCCCATCAAAAAGTGGGCGAAGGATATGAACAGAGACTTCTCAAAAGAAGACATTTATGCAGCCAAAAGACACATGAAAAAATGCTCATCATCACTGGTCATCAGAGAAATGCAAATCAAAACCACAATGAGATATCATCTCACACCAGTTAGAATGGCGATCATTAAAAAGTCAGGAAACAGCAGGTGCTGGAGAGGATGTGGAGTAATAGGAACACTTTTACACTGTTGGTGGGACTGTAAACTAGTTCAACCATTGTGGAAGACAGTGTGGCGATTCCTCAGGGATCTAGAACTAGAAATACCATTTGGCCCAGCCATCTCATTACTGGGTATATACCCAAAGGGTTATAAATCATGCTGCTATAAAGACACATGCACACCTATGTTTATTGCAGCACTACTGACAATAGCAAAGACTTGGAACCAACCCAAATGTCCAACAATGATAGACTGGATTAAGAAAATGTGGCACATATACACCATGGAATACTATGCAGCCATAAAAAATGATGAGTTCTTGTCCTTTGTAGGGACATGGATGAAGCTGGAAACCATCATTCTCAGCAAATGATCGCAAGGACAAAAAACCAAACACCACATGTTCTCACTCATAGGTGGGAATTGAACAATGAGAACCCTTGGAAACAGTCAGGGGAACATCACACACCGGCGCCTGTTGTGGGGTTGGGGGAAGGGGGAGGGATAGCATTAGGAGATACACCTAATGTAAATGATGAGTTAATGGGTGCAGCACACCAACATGGCACATGTATACATATGTAACAAACCTGCATGTTGTGCACATGTACCCTAGAACTTAAAATATAATAAAAAAAATATAAAAAAAGAAATTATCTATTCTGGGATTTAATTTGGGGGAGCTTTTTGATTACTGATTCAATCTGTTTACTCATTATTGGTCATTCCAGACTTTGTATTTTTTTGTGATTTGGTCTTGGTATGTTTTATGAATCTAGGAATTTATTCATTTCTTCTTGGTTATCCAATCTTGGTAAAAAATTGTTCATAGTAGTCTTTAATAATCCTTTTTACTTTGGTGGCATCAGTTATAATTTCACATCTTTCATTTTTAAAAATTTGAATCAAAATTTACCTTTTTTCTTAAGTCTAGCTAAGCATTTGTCAATTTTATCTTTTCAAAAAACTCTTACTTTCACTGATTTTTCTGTTAGTTTTCTATTTTTTAGTTTTTTTCTGCTCTCATATTTATTTTTTCCTTCCTTCTTCTAATTTTTAGTTTAATTTTTTCCAGTTCTTTGAAGTGTACAGTTAGATTATTTGAAATCTTTCTTCTTTAATGTAGTCATTTATTGTTATAAACTTCCTTCTTAGTACTGTTTTTGCTACATCCCATCAGCTTTGTTATGTTGTGGTTTTGTTTCCATTTGTTTTAAGATGTATGTTTTTTATTATTTTATTTTATTTTTAATTGAAAAACAATAATTACATATATTTAAGGGGTAAAGAATGATATTTCAATATATGTGTACACTGTGGAATAATCAAATCAGAATAATCAGCAAACCAATAAAATCAGAGATGAAAAAGAAGACATTACAACTGATACTAAAGAAATATGAAGGATGATAAGAAACTGCTGTGGACAATTATATCCCAACAAATTAGAAAACCTAGAATAAATAGATAAATTCCTGGACATATAAAACCTATTAAGATTGAATTTAAAAAATAGAATGTCTGAACAGACCAACAATGAGTAATGAAACTGAATCAGTAATAAAGTCTCTAATCAAAGAAAAGTGCTGGACCTCATGGCTTCACTGCTGAATTCTACAAAAAAAATTAAGTTCTTTAGAATTTTTCACAAACTATAGAAAATAATTGAAAAGAATGGAACACTTCCAAACTCATGCTATGAGGTGATAATTACTCTAAAACCAAAACCAGACAAGGACACAGAAAGAAAGAGAGCTACAGGCCAATATTCCTGATGAGTGTAGATGCAAAAATTTTCAACAAAATGCTAGCAATAAAAGTTCAACAGCACATTAAAAAGATCATTCACCATGATCAAGTGGGATTTATACCAGGGATACAAGGATGGTTTAACACATGCCAATCAATAAATGTGATACATCACATTAACAAAGAAAGGATAAAAACATGATTATTTCAATAGAGGCAGAAAAAGCATTTGACAAAATTCAATATCCCTTCATGATAAAACCTCAATAAATCAGGTTTAGAAGTACTATAACCTTCATATAATAAAGGCAACATACAGTAAATCCACAGCCAACATTGTATTGAATGGGAAAGAATTGAAAGTTCTTCCTCTAAGATCTCAAACAAGACAAGGATGCCCACTTTCACCACTACTATTCAGCATAGTACTGGAAGTTTTAGCAAGAGTAATTAGGTAGGAGAAAGAACAAAATGTAGTGAAATTAGAAAGGAGGTAGTCAAATTGTTCCTGTTTGCAGATGACATTATCTTATATACGGGAAATCCTAAAGACTCCACCAAAAAACTGTTAGAACTAATAAACAAATATAGTAAAATTGCAAGATAAAAAGACAACATACAAAAATTAGCAATGTTTCCATACATCAATATCAAACTGTCTGAGAGAAATAAAGAAAGCAATCCCACTTACAATACCTACAAAAAATAATAAAAGACCTTGCAATAAATTTATCCAAGGAGGTAAAGGATATCTACAAGGAAAACTACAAAACAGTGATGAAAGAAATTATAGATAACACAAATGGAAAAACATGCCATACTCATGGGTTGAAAGAATTAATATCATCCATTAAAATGATTATAGTGTTTAAAGCAGTCTACAGTTTCAATGCAATCCCCATCAAAATACCAATGTTATTTTTCAGAGTTAGAAAAAAGCAATCAAAAAATTCATATGGTGTTGGAAGCAAGCCCCCCAAAGTCTGGTCATAAACTGGCCCCCAAATTGGCCATAAATAAAATATCTGCAGCAATGTAACATGTCCATAATGGCCATAACGCCCAAGCTGGAAGGTTGTGGGTTCACGGGAATGAGGGCAAGGAACACCTGGCCCGCCCAGGGTGGAGAACCACTTAAAGGCATTCTTGAGCCACAAGGAAAAGCATGAGTGATCTGTGTCTTAAGGGCGTGTTCCTGCTGCAATTAATTCGGCCCATCCCTTCGTTTCCCTTAAGAGATACTTTTAGTTAATTTAACAACTATAGAAACAGTGCTAATGACTGGTTTGCTGTTAATAAATACATGGGTAAATCTCTGTTCAGGGCTCTCAGCTCTGAAGACTGTGAGACCCCTGATTTCCCACTTCACACCTCTATGTTTGTGTGTATGTGTCCTTAATTCCTCTAGCGCCACTGGGTTAGGGTCTCCCCGACCAAGCTGGTCTTGGCAATATGGAACCATAAAATACCCTAAATAGCCAAAACAATCTTAAGCAAAAAAAGAAAAAGCTGGAGGCTTTATACTATCTGAACCCGAAATGTGCTGTAAAGCTATAGTAACCAAAACAGCATGGTGTTGGAATAAAAACAGACACATAGACCAACAGAACAAAATAGAGAGCCCAAAAATAAATTCAAGAATTTACAGCCAATTGATTTTCAATAAAGGAGTCAAGAGCACTTAATGGGGTAAAAACAGCTTCTTCAATAATTGGTGCTGGGAAAACTAGATATCCACATGAAAAAGAATAAAACTAGACTCTATCTCTCACCATATACAAAAATTAACTCTAAATGAATTAAGGACTTAAATGTAATACCCAAAATTATAAAACTACTAGAAGAAAACATAGGAAAATGTTCATGACATTGGTCCACACAAGGATATTTTTAGAGAAGACCCCAAAAGCAGCAACAACAAAAGCAAAAATAAATAAATGGGACCACATCAAACTAAAAAGCTTTGGCACAGCAAAGGAAACAATCAGCAGAGAAAAGAGACAACATATAGAATGAGAGAAAATATTTGAAAAGTATACATTCGACAAGGGGTTGATATCCAGAGAAATGTAAATCAAAACCACAATGAGATATCACCTTGCCCCAGTTTTAAAATAGCTATTAACAAAAAGATAAAATATAATAAATGTGGCAAAGATGTGGAGAAAGGGGAACTCTTATACACTGTTGGTGGGAATATAAGCTAATAGAGTCATTATGGAAAACAGTATGGAGGTTCCTCAAAAAATTAAAACTAGAACTACCACATGATCCAGCAATCCAACTACTGGGCATATATCCAAAGGAAATAAAATCAGTGTGTTAAAAAATATCTGGACTCCAGTGTTTATTGCAGCACTATTTATAATAGCCAACATATGGAATCAACCTAAATGCCCATCAACAGATGAATGGATAAAGATACTGCAGTATATATACACAATAGAATACTATTCAGCCTTACAAAAGATGAAATCTTGTCATTTGCAGTAACATGGATGAATCTGGAGCACATTGTGTTAAGTGAAATGCTGGGCACAGAAAGACAAATACTGTGTCATCACACTTATATATAGAATCTAAAAAAACTGATCTCAGAGAAGTTGAAAGTAGAATAGTGGTTAGCAGCGACTTGGGAGAATAGCGGAGAGGAAGAGATGGTGAGAGGTTTGTCAGCAGGTACAATCTTACAATTAGTAAGAATTAGTTCTCGTACTCTATTGTGCAGTAGGGTGAGTCTAGCTAACAAAAATGCATAATATATTTTCAAATATCTAGAAGAGGGGATTTTGAACGTTCTTACATCGAAGAAATGATAAATGTTTAAGGTGATTACTATGCTAATTTTCATCAATATACAATGTATACATTTGTCAAAACACCACATTGTGCCCCAAAAATATGTAGAATTATTATATTTCAATAAAAGGAAGACTATCCTGCTGTATTTGACAAGTTGGATGATCCTGGAGGACAATATGCTAAGTGAAATAAGCGAGTCATAGAAGGACAAAATACTGCATGGTTCTACTTACGTAAGGTATTTAAAATAGTCAGACATACAGAAAAAGAGAGTGGAATGGTGGCTGTCAGGGACTGTGGTGGGAGTGGGGGAAATAGGGGGATAAGCTACGGTTAAACGGGTATAAAGTTTCAGTTATAAAAAATGAATACGTTTTAGAGATCTGCTTACAACATAGTACCTATAATTAACAATACTATATTGTACACTTAAAAATTATTAAAAGAGTAGATCTTATTATAAGAGTTCTTATCACAATTAAAAGAAAAGAAGCCATGATGCTGAAATAGAGGCTAATGGACATGGGAGATCATAATTTTAGATGCTTAGTTAAATTGGGCTCTCTGAGTATATCGTATTTAAAATGACATATAAGGAAAGAACATGGCAGGCAAAGAGGCCAAGATGGACAGCATTCTGCAGTGTGAATGTGAATGTGCTTCTTGTGTTCAATAAATGAACAAAGATTAATTTGCTGGATCATAGAGAGCAAGGAGAAATTTGGGAGAAAATGAAAGAAGTGGCAGCAGAGAGGTTAAGCAACTTTTGTAGGCCACAGTTAGAAAATTTACTCTAAGTACAATCAGAATCTAGATTTGGGGAATAAAACCAAGATTTTAGTTTTATACATGTTATTTTTGAGATGTCAGTGAGAAGTTTAATAAAAACCTGAAAATATAAGCATCTCAGGATGGAGAATTGAAGAACATCTATATTCAGAGTATGAGTACAAGATAAAAGCAAGCAATGAAAACCAGCAGAACATCCAGCAAGGTTGGAGAAAGAAAATACCAGTTAAACCACAGGTGTTTATAGCGGCTTTATTCATAACTGCCAACACTAGGGAAGCAACCAAAATATCCTTCAGTAGGTACATGAATAAAGTGTGATACCACTTGACAATAGACAATATTCAGTGCTAAAATGAAATGAGCTATCAAGCCACGAAAAGTTATGGAGAAAACAGATGCATATTACTATGTGAAATAAGCCAATATGGAAAGGTTACATACCATATGATTTTAACTATATGACATTCTGGAGAAAGCAAAACTGTGGAGACAGAAAAAGATCAGTAGTTGTCAGGGGTTAGGGAAGAAGGAAGAATGAGTAAGTAGAGCATAGAAGAGCTTTAGAGCAGTGAAACTACTCAATATGATACTATAATGATAAATAGATGTCATTATACATTTATTCAAATCCATAGAAGGGACAACAGCAAGAGTGAATCCTAATGTAAATTATGGTCTTGAGATGATAATGATGTGTCAATGTAGGTTCATCAATTGTAAAAAATGTAGCACTCTGTTGGAGGATATTGACAATGAGGGAGGGTATATGTATGTGGGGGCAGAAGGTATATGGGAAATCTCTGTACTTACCTCTCCATTTTGCTGTGAACATAAAACTGTTCTTAAAGTCTATTCAAAAATAAATTTATACTATAATACTAAATTAATTACTTACATCCTTTATATAAAAACTAGCCACACTCCATTTACTTCTGAGTAAATTTCTCCTTCTAATGCCTATGTGCCCACAAGAGGCATAAACATGTACTTTTTTGTGGGCTTGTTGGTGTCCCTGTTTAACAAGTATGTTTGCACTGGAATGTGGTAGAAAAAATGCAAGGGGAACAAGTGAGTAAACCGAATGTCATTAGTAAGTTTTGACCAGCAAGTTCCAAAAATTCTAACATTTCCATTTAGCCTTCCTCATTCAGGTATTACATTTCTGATAATATTTTATTTTTATTAAAAAATTGACTTCTAAAGAGGTAAGAATATCACCTCATGAACTTAAATGTATTGTGGGGTTTCAAATGTAACTCATTGCATGAGGAAAGTCTGAGATGAGGGAAACAACATTTTTGTGTATACAACAATGTTAAAATTCCAAACTTATAGAAATTTTTGCCTTCTCAACACTTTCTTGAATGCATTCTGGACTTCTCTGTTCCTCAGGCTGTAGACCACAGGGTTCAGCATGGGGATGATCATAGCATAGAACACAGATGCCATTTTGTCTGTGTCCATGGAGTGGCTGGAGCTGGGCTGCAAGTAGATGAAGATTACTGTCCCATAGAAGACGGAGACTGCAGTGAAGTGAGAGGCACAGGTGGACAATGCTTTTTGGTGTCCCTTAGCTGAATGCATCTTCAAGATGGTGATGAATATGAACAAGTAGGAGATAAAGATAACTAGAAGAACAAAAAAGATATTAAAGCTTGACATAAAAACCAGAATCACCTCACTAGTGTGTTTATCAGAGCAAGACAGAGCCATGACTGCTGGAACATCACAGAAAAAGTGATGTACCAGATTGGATTTACAGAAAGAGAGACTGAATATGCCCCCAATGTGGAATGAGGCATTTAGGAAGCCACAGACATATGAGCCTAGGGCCAGACAGGCACCTACACTGGCCGTCATGGTGGTGGTGTAGTGTAGGGGTTTGCACACTGCTGCATAGCGGTCATAGGCCATTGAGGCCAACAAGTAATTTTCCACCGTGGCCAAGGCTACAAAGAAGAACATCTGAACAGCACATGCATTGTAGGAGATGACCTTGTCTCCTCTAAGGAACCCAGCCATGACCTTGGGAGTGACAGCTGAGGAGTATCCAAAGTCCACCAGAGACAGGTTACTGAGGAAAAAGTACATGGGGGTGTGGAGACAAGAGTCCATCAGGATCAGCAACATCATCCCCAGGTTCCCACACAGAGTGAGGAGGTAGATGAAGGTGAACAAGATAAAGAGGGGGATCTGTAGTTCTGGGACACTGGTTAGTCCTAGAAGAATGAACTTTGTCACTTCCGTACAATTCTCCATCAGTATTATCTGAGAAACTTAAGATGACCTGTAGCAATGAGAAATAAAGCAATAGAGTGATAAACAAAAAAAGAGATTTAGAAATATATAAATACTATATGCATTATGTAATTATAGCAACAATTTGTACTTCAAAATTCTATAGATCTAAAGCATAGGCTTGGTAACAATCTTTAATGCATTATCTACAGAGTTGTAATCTGCTGAATCCAGGGGATCTTTATAAATAATATCCCAATGTTTCCATTTTATAAATTTATAAACTGCTATGTAGTATATTTAATGATGTGTCCAAGATGACTCATCTGGAACTAATTTTTCTGCCAATTCAGTTTTCCCTAATCTGGTAAAACTTATACATTTATGTTGCTCACATACTGGGAACCGCTCTAGGCAATTTGTATGTATATTGATTCCTCTCAACAATATAATGAGGTTGATTCGTTATTACATTTATTTAATTTGTGAGGCTCACAAGATTAAGTCATTTATTCATATGTACACAAGTGTTAATAGTCAAGCCTATCTTCTGGCTCAGGAGAGTCGTTCTCAAGCTCAATGGTCTAAATTGAATCTAAATCAGATTGAATTTGAAGCAATTTACAATTACTCATTGTCTTTGTTGGTGCAAACTTAGGCAGGTTTCACAGTGAGGTAACTGAGAGGAAAATGCACATTAAGGGTCTCAGGATAGCTGGAGAAGTAGGGAAATGTGCAACTAGCAAAGGCAATTCTGAGGGGAAGGCAGCATCAGATATAGAGTTTGGGATTGGGAAGAGGTGCTTATCAGCCCTACCATTTACTGCCTAGGCAGCATTGGTCCCACACTAACTTCCCTGAACCTTATTTATTTTATCTGCAGAATGAAAATATTAATGAGATCAACCTCAAGGCATTATTTTGAAAATTCAATGTTATACATTTTTACAACAATAAACAAAATGTTAAATGTTTAGCACAGTCTGATGAGAGCTAGCTATAATATTATCGTTAGAATGGAATGATGATCTGTTAGTTTCATAAAGGAGGATGGCAGGGCTTTGTGTGTTGGTAAATTTTGAAGTCTTATAGCCCCTTCTTCAATTTGTCTTTCCTCACATACCAGGGCTACTGAGATTTTCTGTGCCTCCCAATAATTCTCATTCTGTCTTTTTTTTCACCCAAATGATAGACTGTTCCAGAATTCTATGTGAACCATTCTTCTGTTTAATTTCTTCCTTGAAATTTACATTTTAGCTTGGTTTCGCAGCATCTCCTTTACTTAAACTCATGCTTTTCTTTCATTTATGTCATCTCTTAGTTGACCCTTATAGTTTAAAATGCATCGTTCGTGGGTTTCCTTTAGTCTGCAGATCTGTTTTGGTGGCAGGTTGTAAGCTATAAAATTATTATTTAGATCAGTTCTTGCATATGAATAGTGTTTTAAATTAGAAAGGGCATTCATCCTCTAACTACTATTCATCTGCTAACTACTACTGCCTACTGTCTTTCCACACTGCATAAGTTTAGCCCATGAAAGCATTATGTTTGCCAAACTTAAATCACATAATCACTTTTAGAATATACTATGTTCTACAACAGATGTTAAGAACTTTTTATATAAACGTTTACATGTGTGTGTTTGTGTGTGATAAGTATTATTGTTATTACTATTTTACCATTATAAGAATTTGATATTTGAAAAGTTTTGTGATATTCTACAATTATACAACTAGTATGGAGAACAGTCAAGATTCACAATTGAAACCAAGTTCCAACCTAATCAAAATTTGTGCTTTTAGCTACTTCACAATGAGCATTAGATTGCTAGTCATAATAAGGATGAGATTATGGGGGAAAGGTTACAATTCTGTATGCATCTTGCTAACTTACTTAGATCCTTTTGTAGTTTGAAGAGCTGTCAATTCACACTTCTGTTATTTTTGTTTGTTTTACTTCAAGTAGAAGCCTAACCAATAGTGAATAAGATGAAATTACCACCTACTTAATCAGAGCATCATCTATCTCATTTTTTTCATCTTCTTTAGGGAAGCAGTATCACTGAACACCCTACCAATGGAAGTTTTGACATCTCTATACTCCAGCCTCAGCATATGTTTTTAGAAAAAAAATATTTAAAGCATCTACTTCTGTTCTGAAATAATATAGTATCTATAGCCGTCCCACTGCTTTTGCACAAATTCCCTCTTTTACTAAATGTATATATGGAACATAGAAGTTTACCTTGTGCCTGGAAAAAAAGAGATAGTCAATCCTGAATACTAGGTCTAAAATTGGAAATTCGGTCATGAAATAATGCATAAATAACATTAGAAAAAAAATATGTCTCAGGTAGTGGTCAAAAAAAGCTCCAAGTTCTCTATGGCAAGGAAAGACAGAATAAAAAAACACTAGCATCAATAAACTAAATTAAATATAACTGCTATTGTTAGGAATGACCTTTAACACATAAATCACTCACTATGTGCAGATTCTCTTTTATGTATTTTGCATACATTAGCTCATTTAGCATAAAAAAATAGAAAGTAAAGGTGCATTGTAGGTGAAAAATAGGGTTCCATGTAAGTTTTGATTTTGCTGTGTGTGTATGTGCGTGTGTACACATGCATGCAGTCATACATTATGGGTCACAATGTAAATCGTGTGGACTCCTTATTTTAAAAAATCTAAAGCCTTCAATCAAGAGCCTCTGAATAGCCTGTGCAAAGTTAGGCATGAGACTGTGCTTCAGTAACACAGAACCATGTATTTTATAATGTGCTCACTGATCATTTGCTGACTTATTTATTTATTCATTTATTCATTTAGATACATTCTCTCATTGCCTCAACAAGTATTTAGAGTGCCCATCATTTTCTAAATGTTCTTCTAAGCACATGGATTTTTTGTGTGTATAAGGGTTTTGTTTTTTGTTTTTTTGCTTTTATTTTAAGTTCAGGGATACATGTACAGGCTTGTTACATAGGTAAATTTGCATCATGGGGGTTTGTTATACAGATTATTTCATCACTCAGGTATTAGCCTGGGACCCATTAGTTATTTTTTTTCTGATCCTCTCCCTCCTCCTATCCTCCACCCTTCGATAGGCACCAATGTCTGTTGCCCTCTAAGCATATGAATTTTAAATGATGAGAATAATACCATCTTCTATTATTTGAATAAAATCACCATTTTCCCAATTAATGGAGATTGTTGTAACACCTGGACTGTGGCTAAATAGCGTGATAGCATGAAAATATTAAAAGCTGGGAAACTGAACTCTGATTACTCAATGGGAAAATGTTTGCCCTTGAACTTTTATATAACACATATTCTATTACTACAACCTAAACAGACCGTAGAACAGAGCTAGAAACTTACCTTGCTCTTCAAGGAAGATGACACACTTTCAGTTGGTATCTTCAAATTGCAAGTCCTACTCAAAGAAGAAAGAAAAGCTCCTATTTAAGAAGTTATTATTTAATGTCTAGTCACAAATATTGAAGTTCTCTAGAGGGAGGGAGATTTAAGGAAAAAGTAATGACTAGGTGGAGATTAGAAAATATTCTCCAACTTGTCACACAGGGCTGCTGCTGTGAGGAAAAATAGAAGTCTCTGAATGCACTCTGTAAAGTCCTAAAGAGCTGTAAGAAGGGATCATCGTATCTGCAATGAACATCATTTTTAGCTGGGGGTCTTATCCCTGGCCATTGTTGCAGACTCAGAGTAATATACCAGTGTGAAATAAGGCCACTTAGTACAATGGACAACCTTTTACACTGAGATCAATAAATGATCACCAAAAGGTGACACACAGGGTGGAACCTCTAACATGATGTTAAATAGAGTCATGTTGGGATGTTAGAGACCAATGACTGGGAACTAACAATAATTGAGGAATTTGAACGTACATAAAGTTCTCAGGGGACAAGTTACCCATGAGAATAACCACAGTCTCTCACTCCAATCATCTAGAGAAGCAATAATTAAACTGCATATGAAAGCCTGGTTCCATTTTCTTAGGAAGAACACCAGTGTATTTACTTTACTCAGGGTTATTTCTTCTTGGTAATGTGAACATCTTCAGAAAAGATTCATCATTAACTTTCCTGGCAGAAATCAGACAGAATCATGAGTGGCATAATGGAAACTAGGCTAAAGTGTTATGTAAGTTTCGTTGGCCGATGGCAGCATAACTTCACAAAGTTCATATTGAGATTATAGGTTGTATAAACACTTACGCACTTCAGTTCTCTCATTAATAAAACAGAGATGAGTATTTTTTTTCTGAGATAGCAGAATGGATGCTTTGCCAGAATCCTTGCTCACTTGGAAATAGCAAGTGGTGTGTAGAGATTCACACTGTGAATTTGCATCCAAGTAGAAACATGATTGTTCAATATAAAAGTGAAAGAAAACTTTGTATACTGCTGAAAACAAGACAGACAGCAGCCCAAATGGAAAACTGTGAATCAGTCCCTCCATATGTGAGAGGGGGAGTGCTCCACAATACACATACCCACCAGGAAGCCAGGCAACCTAGGCTATCGGGAACTTTTTGAGTTTCCCAAAACCTGGATCAGACTTGGGGAACAGTCAAGGGACTGTGAGAAGGAAGAGCACTGGGAAGTACCCCACATGCACTCTCAGACTTAAGGACCAATGGAAGGAGGTCATTCCTGATGCTAACTCATAGTGGGTTGCACAGGAACCTGCCAGCTAGCATTGGTGTCAGTCACTGGTTTGTAGAGTTGTTAGCCAGAGATTTGTGATCTTACCTTGATTGGAGGAGGAATCCACATGGCCAGAATGGAGAGGCAAGAATAGCATGGGCTTCAGCTGTGGACAATGGAATTGGGAATCCACCTTGCAGGACAAGACCAGGAGGGTTTGAGTCTGAGAGGAGTGGTTTTGACCACGGTAGCAAGTTTTGCAGCCTGAGGCATTTTCACACTCTAAAGGCAAAGTGCATTTGAGTTGGCTAACTGTCCCAACGCACTGCTAGTGTCCAGCTGTGGGAAAGAGCCCTGCTGGGTTTAATGAGAGCAAACTGGGTCTTACTACCCCTTGATAGGCCATGGAGCCTAGGATGTACTCTTTCCCTCATGGGGTCATTGGCATAGCAGCAGTTGCTCTGCTTATTGCTGGAGCGTTTCTTCAGAGGTCTGAGGATTGCTCTCTGAACCTTGTAAGGGCCAGCACTTGTACATGCCATCGTGGGGTTCAAGTGCAGACTTGCACAACCCAACACTGCCCAGCTTTGCCCTCTTGCCTTGGATACAAAGCATGGAACCAGGACCACTGTGTGTTCCATAGCCCAAATCATTATCTGGGACACCCAAACCAGTACACTAAGGATATTTACAAACAAGAAAATCATACAGAGTCTACACCAGTTTAGACAGCCAGAAACAAAGCCAAATAACCCTACTCAGCATACATTATAGTCACATTCCCAAGAAAAATAAGTCACACCCCAATGAAAGTAAATTCAATAATAGAAGTGACTAATTCTCCAGATGCAAAGAAATCAGGATAATAATACTGGAAGTATGAAAAACAAAGTGCTATAACACCTCCAAAGGAGCACAGTAATTCTCTAGCAATGGATTTGAACCAATAAGAAATCTTCAAAATGTCAGATAAAGAATTCAAAATACTGATTTTAAAGAAGTTCTATAAGACATAAGAGAAAACTGAATACCAATGCAAAGACATCAGAAAATCAATTCCTGATATGAGCTAGAAATTTACCAAGAAGGTAGAGATCTTAAAGAAACAAACAACTTCTGGAAATGAAAATTTCACTGAAAGAATTATGAAGAACAGTTGAAAGCCTTAAGAATAGACTAGAACGAGCAGAGAAGAGAATCTCAAAATTTGAAGACAGGTCTTTTGAATTAATTCAATCAGACAAAAATAAAGAAAGGAGAATAAAGAAGAACAAACAAAGCCTTTAAGAAGTATGGGACTACATAAAGCAACCAAACATATGAAGTATAAGTATTTCCAAGGGAGAAGAAAAAGCAAAAAGTTCAGAAACCCTATTTAAGGAAATAATTGACAACAAGTTTCCCGAGTTTGGGAAGAGATTTACACATCCAGATACAATAAGCCCAACAAACTACAGGAAAATACATTGTAAAAAGGACCTCAACATGACATATAGTCATCAGATTGTCTAAAGTCAACATGAAAGAAAAATCCTAAAATCAGCATGAGAAAAGTGTCTAGTCATCTATAAAGAAAACACCATTAGAATAATAGTGGACTTTAAAAGCAGAAACCTTACAAGCCAGAAAAAATAGAGATTCTATTTTTAAAGTACTTAAAGGAAAAAAAAAACCCTGTCAACCACCAATTTTATATCCTATTCAGAATAAGCTTCATAAATGGAGGAGAAATAAAGTTCTTCTCAGACAATCAAATGCTGAGGGAATTCATTACCACTAGACTGGCCCTATAAGAAATTCTGCAGGAGTTCTAAATGTGGATACAAAATGTCAATATTCACCATCATATAAACACAAAATTACAAAAAGTAAAAAAAGGAAATCCAATGACTACATGACAAAACTCCACTAAAGCACAAAGACAAAGGAAAAAAAGAAATGAAGAATCTACAAAACAGCTAGATTACAATCTACATTATGTCAGAAACAAAAGCTCACATGACAATATTAACCTTAACAATAAATGAATTAAAATTTTCCACTTAAAAGATATACATTGATGACATGGATAAAAACATGAAGCAACTACATGCTACTTAAAAGAAACTCACCTTACTGGTTGGTAGACAGTTATAGACTGAAGGTAAACAGGTGGAAAAGATATTCCACACAGATGAAAACCAAAAGTGGGTAGTAGTAGTTACACTTATATCAGGTAAAACAGACTTAAAATAAACCATGATAAAAAATACAAATAAGGCCATTATATAATGATAAAGAGATCAAATCAGCAAGAACATATAAAAATTCTGAATATATGTGCACCTAAAAATGGAACAGCACCCAGAGTCATAAAAAAATTACTAGACATAAAGAAAGAAACATACAGAAATGCAATAAAAATGGGGGACTTACCCCACTGATAGCACTAGACAGGTTATCAAAACATAAAATTAACAAAGAAACATTGGACTTAAATTTTTGACCAAATGGACATCACAAACATTTACAGATCAGTGTAACTAACAAAAGTAAAATGTAGTTTTTTCATGGGCACATGGTACATTCTCCAAGATATGTCACAAAACAAGTCTCAATATAGTATTCAACTTTTTAAAAGTTGAAATTATACCAAGTGTCTTCTCAGAGCATAGCCAAATACAACTAGAAATCAATACCAAGAGGAACTCTGGAAACTATACAAATACATGGAAAGTAAACAATATATTCCTAAACAATATTTAGGTTTGTTACTAAATTAAGTCATAAATTAAAAATTTTTGGAATAAATAAAAATGGAAACACAAAACATACCAAAACATATTGAAAACAGCAAAAGCAGTGATAAGAGAGAAGTTTATAGTATTAAATGCCTACATCAAAAAATAGAAAGATCACAAATTAGCAACATAACATTGTACCTCATGGAACTAGTAAAACAAGAACAAACAAAATCCAAAGCTACCAGAATAAAACAAATAACAGAGATCAGGGTAGAACTAAATGAAATCAGGTCAAAAACAAATAAAATAGACAAACCACTAGCTAAACTACCTAAGAAAAACAGGAGAAGAGATCCAAATAAACATAATCCAAAATAAAAAAGAATACATTACAGCTAAAACCACAGCTAATACCACAGATCATCAGAGGCTGCCATGAACAACTTTGCACTCACAAACTAGAAACGTAGAGAACATGAATAAATTCCTGGAAACAAATAACCTCCTAAGATTGAATGGGAGAGAAAAATCTTGAACAGAGCAATAATGAGTGATTAAATCAGTAATATAAAACTTCCCAACAACACCAACAAAAAAGCTCAGGACCAGATAAATTCACAACCGAATTCCACCAAAGGTAAAAAGAAATAATAGCAATCTTTTGAAACTCTTCTGAGAAATCAGAGAGGAGAGAATCTTCCCTAACTCATTCTACAAAGCTAGTATGAGTCTGATACCAAAGCTGGCAAGGATATAAAAATGGAAGACTACAGACCAATCCCTGATAAACATAGATGCAAAAATCCTCAAAAGTATACATCATTTGCTAGCATTTTGTTAAGGATTTTGTATGTAAGGATTTTGCACATATATTGAGATATATGTATAACAGCATATCAAGAAGATAATATACCACAATCGAGTAGGTTTTATTCAGGGATGCAAGGATGGTTCAACATACACAAATCAATAGATGTGATTAATTACATAAGCAGAATTTAAAAACAAAAACCCTATGATCCTATAAATAAATCCAGAAAAGGCATTTGATAAAATTCAGCATCCTTTTATGATAAAAACTTTCAAAAAATCAGACATAGAAGGAACATACCTCGAAATAATAAAAGCTATACATGAAAAACACATAGCCAACAGCATACTGAATGGAGAAAACTTGAACTCATTCTCCCTAAGAATTGGAACAAAACAAGGATGACCATTTTCATCACTCCAATTCAACATAACCCTGGAAGTCATAGCCAGAGCAATCATGCAAGAATAAATATTAAATGCATTCAAACTAGAAAAGAGAAAGTCAAATTATCTCTGTTTGCTGATGATATGATTTGTATGTAAAAAATCTCACAGACTCCTCCAAATAATTCTTAGATCCGATAAATGAATTAAGTAAAGTTTAGGGTTATATAATCAACATAAAATATTCAGTAGCATTTCTATATAACCGACATACAAAATTCAGTAGCATTTCAAAATGAGTAGCATTTGTATAGAAATGCTACTGAATTCTGTACGTTGATTATATAACCTTAAACTTTACTTAATTCATTTGTAAGCTTGATTCTCAGCTTGAATTGAGCTGAGAATCAAATCAAGACATCAATCAATTTACAATATGTGCAAAAAATACCTAGAAATATATTTAAACAAAGAGGTAAAACACCTCTACAATGTAAACTACAAAACATTGATGAAAGAAATTATAGATGACACAAACAAATGGAAAAACGTTCCATGCTCCTGAATTGGAAGAATCAATATGATAAAAATGACCATACTGTCCAAAGGAATCTACAGACTCAATGCATTTTCTACCAAAATACTAATGTAATTTTTCACAGAATTAGAAAAATACAGTCATAAGATTCATATGGAATCAAAAAAGGAGCTCAAATAGCCAAAATAATGCTAAGCTAAAAGAACAAAGCTGGTGTCATCACATCATCTGACTTGAAGTTATACTGCAAGCCTGCAGAAACCAAAACGGCATGGTACTGGTTTCTAAGTAGACACATAGATGAATGGAACAGAATATAGGAACAAAAAATAAAGCTACATACCTACAACCAACAGATCTTTGTCAATGTTGACAAAACATGCATTTGAGAAAGGATACACTTTTCAATAAATGGTGCTGGAAAAATAGAATTTTCCTTTGCAGAAGAATGAAACTGACTCCTATCTCTTACCATATACAAAAATCAACTCAAGTTGGATTAAAGACTTAACTGTAAGACCTGAAATTGTAGAAATACTAGAATAAAACCTAGGAAAAACTCTTCTGGACATTGGGCTAGGCAAAGGATTCATGAAAACCTCAAAAGCACAGGCAGCTAAAATAAAAATAGACAAATATGACTTGATTAAACTGAAAGGCTTCTGCACAGCTGAATAGAGTGAAGAGAAAACCTGCACAATGAGAGAAAATATTTTCAAACTATGCATCCAAGAAGGGACTAATTTTAATCTAGAAACTATAAAGGATTCAAATAAGTAAACAATAACAAGAACAGTAAGAAAAAACATTAAAAAGTGGACAAAGGACATAAAGAGATATTTTTCAAAAGAAGACATAGAAATTGCCCACAAGCACATGAAAAATATTCAACATCACTAATCATCATAGAGATGCAAATTAAAATCACAATGAGATATCATTTTATACCAGGCAGAATTGCTATTGTTTAAAAAGTCAAAAAATAACAGATTTGGGTGAGGCTGTAGAAAAAAAACAGTTATACACTGTTGGTGGAAATGTAAATTAGTACAAGCACTATGGAAAACAATGTGGAGATTTCTCAAATAACTAAAAATAGAACTACCATTCAATCCAGCAATCCCACTACTAGCTATCTATCCAAAGGAAAAAAATCTTTATATAAAAAATATACCTGCACTTGTATTTTTATCAAAGCACTATTCACAATAACCAAGATATGGACTCAACATAAGTGTCCATCAATAGACGACGGGATAAAGAAAATGTTATATATATATATATCACATATGTATATGTATAAACACACACATATATATACACTCACACCATGGAATACCACTCAACCATAAAAAAGAATAAAATCATGTGTTTTGCAACAACATGGATGGAACTTGAAGCTGTTGTCTTTAGAGAAATAACACAGAAAGTCAAATACCGCATGTTCTTACTTATAAGAGGAAGTGAAATAATGTGTACACATGAACATACAGTGTGAAATAATAGACAATGCAGACTCAGAAGGGTAGGAAGTGGGGAGGGGGGAGGGGGAGGGGGGAGGGGCGGTGACAAATGAAAAATTTCTTGATGAATACAGTTGCATTATTCAGGTGATGGTTACTTCAAAAGGCCAGACTTCAACACTACACAATATATCCATATAACAAAATTCTACTTGTATTCATTAAATTTATACAAATAAAAATAAAATGAAGATGATGGTAGTGCTTAATGCATATGGTTGGTAGGAGCACATAAATTAATAAAGTGCTTAAAACAGAGCCGGGTACATACTAAACTGTGAACAAACACACTAGCTATAAAAAAATTATAAAGTCATACTTTTTTATGAAAGAGCCTCCATTCATTTCTAAGAGTGTTCATTATCTCCAAAATACATAATATATCCCTTAGGGACATTGGAAGCCACAACGAGTTAATTCCAAATATCTTGCAACATAATTATGAGGTTGGAGTTGTTTTAAATAATTAACAAGCTAAAAATAAAACAGAAGAGAATTAAAATGTACACTGTTTAAGCTGACAAAGCAAATTGGGAAACACTCTTATCTGTAGCGTACTGAATTTATCCACTGAGATATAAAGTCGAAAAACCCTAGTACTCATCAAAAACCTTCCAGATGTATTTTTATGCAGAGATAGTCTATAACAAGGCCACCAGAAGCAGACATATAACATTTTTTTCTGGAAGTCCTTTATCCCAAGTCTTCCTATTTTTTATAGTTTCCTGCTACGTGAAACTTGGTGGAAGACTGTGTAACACTGTTCAAGAACTGTTTTATAGTTTCCTACTATGTGAAACCTGGTGGAAAACTGTATAATAGTCTTCAGTTGGGCACAGTGGCTCATGCCTGTAATCCCAGCACTTTGGGAGGCTGAGGTGGGCGGATCACTTGAGGTCAGGAGTTCAAGACCAGCTTGGCCAACATGGTGAAAACCTGTCTCTACTAAAAATACAAAAATTAGCCAGGAGTGGTGGCACCTGCCTGTAGTCCCAGCTACTCGGAAGGCTGAGGCAGGAGAATTGCTTGAACCTGGGAAGCATAGGCTGCAGTGAGCTGAGATGGCGACTGCACTCCAACCTAAGCAACAGAGCAGGACCCAATCTCAAAAACAAAACAAAACAAAACAAAACAAAAAACAAAACAGAAACAAAGAGACAAACAAAAAAACAGTTTTCAGGATGACATGGATTCAAATCCTGGTTCTGCCTAAATTGTCCTGGAACATGGGCAAATGTCTTAATGTTATTAAGTCATACTTTCCTCATTAATAAAATGATAATAATAACAATACTACCTTGCCATGGAGTTGTCAGGATCAAATGAGTTATGATATGTAAAACACAAAGAACAGTGCAATTGTACGAGGATGCTATATAAATGAGAACAGTTCCTTTTGAAATTCTGCTTACCATGCTCACAGCTTAGCTGCCAGCAAACTTGTCTCAGTCAACAGCATGCAGTGAGTAACACCCAGAAGTCAGGATAGTTAGAATTTATTTGTACTGCATACTGTGGCTTGTGGCATTAGCAAAAGTCTAAAAGCACCACTGATAGTGGTGACCAAAGGTACTAGTGTAAAAGGATAGAAGTGGTCAACTTGCTGGAAGAATTGTTTTAACCAAACTGTTCCAGTGGTTTGATCTTGCCTCTGGTTTCTGCCCTCTCGCTTCCTTTAATTATTTCCAGCTTAATTATCCAACTTTCTCCTTGATTCTGGGAGCACACCATTATTCTTCAAATAAATTCTTTTTTGTTTAAGTTAGCCAGAGTTGATTTCTGTTGTGTACATCCAAGGTTGTCACCTCTCTCTCCCACATACCACCCACATTCATGATAGGCAGTGATAGTGATGGTGGAGAGAAACTTATCAGGTTCCACTGCCACTTCTGCTCTATGTTATGAAATGCCTTCTCATATCTCTTAAACTCCCAAGCAGGCCATGACTAGACTGCTTGGCACCACATACCAAACATCAAAGAGATGACATTATAATGCCATGTCTTAAATATGGGGGAAAACAGACATCCTTCTTTGTCTCTGCTTACTCACATTATCTCGACTTACTTATGCACTGGCCATGATGTTTTATCAGCTATGTTCAGTAGAGGAATTCCAACTCAATTCGCTGGGAAAGAAAATAAAAAGAAAAGCCATGAAAGAGGAGCATATTTGGCTCAGTTCTCAGGCTTTCTTATTAAATACCAATTCATAATACTAGGTTATTATACTGGAAAATGACAAAAAAAAAAAAAAAAAAAAACAAGCTCAAGTATACCAGTGGCTTATTTCAAGTACACTAATTTTATGCCTTTATATTTAAAGTAAATTTCTTGTAAATGGCATGCAGTGGGTCTTTTTTTTTAAAAAAAAATATCTAACATTCTTTTTCAATTTGCTAAGTTTACACTATATTTAATGTACTCATTGACGCAATGAATTAAAATCTAACATCAGGCCAGGAGTGGGTGGCTCACGCCTGTAATCTCAGCACTCTGGGAGGCCGAGGCAGGTGAATCACTTGAGGCCAGGAGTTCAAGACCAGCCTGACCACCATGGTGAAACCCTGTCTCTACTAAAAATGCAAAAATTAACCAGGCATGATGATACACACCTGTAATCCCAGCTACTTGGGAGGCTGAAGCAGGAGAATCTATTGAACCTGGGAGGCGAAGGTTACCATGAACTGAGCTCGCACCATTGCACTCCAGCCTGGGTGACAGAGCATGGTTCTGTTCAAAAAACAAAAACAAAACAAGCAAACAAACAAAAAAACGTACAATTTTCCTAGTTTTTTTTCTATTTTTTCCATCTTTTCTTTGTTTCTTTTGTCTTCTTTTCCTTTTTAAATTATTAACGATCTTTATGATTCCGTTTCATCTCCACTATTAACTTATTATTAAATACCTCTCTTAAAAATTGTTTTAGTTATTGCCCTAGAGTTTACAATATATGTTTAGAATTCATGAAAATATGCTTCTTTGTAATACTGTGCCATTTTACGAGTAGTTTAAGGATGTTGCAAACTTATACTGCCAATTATGCACTCTAATACTTTATATTATTGTTACACATTTTCCTTTTATGTTTTCTATAAATAAATATACAGTATATTCCTATTTATGATTTAGACAATCATCTTTTAAACAATTAAAAATACAAAAAGAGTAGGTCTTATGTCTGTCTGTCTTCATTTATCTCATTTTCAGTCCTCTTCATTTCTTTGTGCCAATGTAAATTACCAATTGGCATCATATTTCTTATGCCTGAAGAAATTCCTTCAATATTTCTTGCAGTGAAGGGCTGCTGACAATGAACTTTCAGCATGTGTGTCTGAAAAATGTCTTTATTTCTCTTTTATTTTTGAATATATTCACTTTGTTTAACAGGGTTTCTTTATTATTTCAGCATTTGACAGATGTTTTCTGGCATGCACTGTTTCTGATGAGAAATCTGCGGTGAATCTTGTTTTTGATCCTCTGTATGTAATGTGTCTTTTTTCCTCTGAATGTATTTATAATTTTCTTCTTATATTTGGTTTTCAGCAATCTGAATATGACACGTATAGGTGTTAGACATTTTGTTAAATCCATAGTATACACAGCAAAAAAAAAAGGTCCGTGCATAAATAGACTTTGGTCTAATGGGGAGACATTAAAAACTTAAACTCACAGATAAATATATAATTATAAATTATAATATATATTATGAAAAAAATAAAACAATTTTCTCAGAGAGGATTATAACAGAGGAACCTTAAATTTAAAAGGATAGAATAAGGCCAGGCATCGTGGCTCATGCCTGTAATCCCAGCACTTTGGGAGGCCAAGGCAGGCAGATCACTTGAGGCCAGGAATTCAAGACCAGCCTGGCCAACTTGGTGAAACACCATCTCTACTAAAAATATTATACAAAAATTTAGCCAGGCATGGTGGTGCATGCCTGTAATTCCAGCTACTCAGGCGGCTGAGGCATGAGAATATCTTGAAGCCAGGAGGTGAAGGTTTCAGTGAGCTGAGATGGTGCCACTGCACTTTTCCCTGGGCAACAGAGCAAGACTCTGTATCAAAAATAAAAAATAAATAAATAAAAATTTAAAGGATAGAATAAATATTTCCAGAATGGCAAAGCAAGGACCTCCAAAAATCTGCTCTTCCATAAAAGCAATTATAGCACAGGCAAAACTGTGTATAATAAAAATGTTTGAAACTCTAGAAACTAACCAAGGACATGCAACAATTCAAGGAGTATTCATTCAAAAACAATGACTGAATCTCAGTATCAACGGTGAGTTTTGTGGCATGTTAGCTTGCTTTATCCATCAGCTCTGTGGTAACCTTGAAAACCAGCACACATGGAACTATGGTAGCTGAAAAAAACATTGGCCTAACAACCACTGAAGTGAACAAAATGTGTTGGAGATTGCTAATGGGCCTGCTTCCCAGGGAATTGTCACTGTTTCACCTATTTGGCAGCTTCCTAGGAAAACTCCATTCACAATTTTGTCCCTATTTCACCAGACTCAGTTCACTCAGTGAAAAAGTTTTATTCCTAGAGTGTTTGTCAAAGCGTTGAACAGCAATTGTTTAACATTGCAATTGCCTGAAAATGTAAATATCAGTTGGAGCATACAATAATCTAACCAAACTCTTAAAAAAAATTGATGACGGCTTTAGAAATCCATAGAGGGCTTTGAAAAGCTCCCATACATTCCTGGGGATTACAAAAATCATGCATATGGGCAAGGCCTTATGTATGCACAGGAAAGACCTGAGAGGACCTAATGTTTCATTTGTGGCTGAACTTGAGGCTCTGCACAGAGGACGTGAAGATTAAAGGCAGAATTTAAACTGCTGGAGCGCTGAAAACGTGCTCCAACACACACATGCAAAGCCCATGCATAAGGCTTCAGAGAATTAGCAATTTAAAGCACTTAAAAAACTTTACCCAATTGTTAGTTGACCACTAACCTAACTGAGTAGAAATTTCAGTGGCCACACACAACAAGAAATGCAGAATTAACATAAGTAACTCAGGAAAATCACTAAACAAACAAAAGTACCACCAACAAAAACAAAGCCTAGATGGGAGGAGAGATCTGATTTTTAGAATATGCTATTTTTTATTATTTAAAATGTCCAGATTTTAACAACAAAAAAAGTGTCACTTAAAGAATGAAGAAAGTATGGCCAATTCATATGTTTAAGAAAACAGTCAATAGAAACTGTCCATGAGGAAGCCCAAATATTGGGCTTGGTAGACAAAGATTAATATGAGGTGGAAAAAATTATCTTATTGTGAATTCTTTATAATTAAAATATGAATCCTATAGAGGCCTTTGCCTTCCCTACAGTCTTTTTAAAGGCACTCTTAACCTCTTTGTTCCTCAGGCTGTAGACCAGTGGATTCAACATGGGAATGACTATGGCATAGAACACAGATGCCATTTTGTCTGTGCCCATGAAATGGCTGGAGTTAGGTCGTAAGTACATAAAGATTCCTGTCCCATAAAAGATGGAAACTGCAGTAAGGTGGGAAGCACAAGTAGAAAAGGCCTTCTGGCGTCCTTCAGGTGAGCGCATCTTCATGATGGTGATAAATATAAATAAGTAGGAGATCAAGATTACCAGGATAGAAAAGAGGTCATTGAATCCCACCACAAAAAAAATAACCATCTCACTGATGTAGTTGTCTGAACATGAGAGAGTCAAGAGAGGAGGAGCATCACAGAAAAAGTGTTCAACTACATTGGATCTACAGAAGGAGAGCCTGAAAGTGTTCCCAGTATGAATGGATGCATTCAGGAAACCACAGATGTAGGAGCCTATGGCCAGGCAAGCACATACATTTGTTGTCATGGTGGTGGTGTAATGCAGGGGTTTACACAATGCTGCATAGCGGTCATAGGCCATTGATGCCAGGAGGAAACTTTCTGCAGTGATAAAGGCTACAAAGAAGAAGAATTGTGTGGCACAAGCATTATATAATATGAATTTGTCTCCTGTGAGAAACCCCACCATCACCTTGGGAGTGACAGCTGAGGAATAACCAAAGTCCACCAGGGAGAGGTTACTGAGGAAGAAGTACATGGGGGTGTGGAGACAGGAGTCCAGTAGAATCAATTCAATCATCCCCAGGTTCCCAACCAGAGTGATGAGGTAGATGAAAAGGAAGACTATGAAGAGTGGGATCTGCAGTTCTGGGTCATCAGTTAACCCCACAAGGATGAATTCAGTCACCTCTGTGTTGTTCTCCATTGGGAATTATGTAGCTGCCCTGTAGAAATGAAAAGGCAGAATCAGAATGATAAATGGAGGGAGGACTACTGAGATCAATCAGCATGCCATTTTTTTGCTTTATTCCAGTATTGTAATTACTTGTTTCCAGGAGTCCCGGATCTAAAACATGCCCATGACCGCAAAATGCAACTTTAAATTACAATAATTCATAGAGCATTCTTAATAAAATGATTTTGGAGATAATTCATCCCGAACTCCTAATTTCATAGATTACCGAACTAAGGTACAGAAAAGGAAGATTCATACAAGATCATCAGACTAATTAATTGGAACAGGTGAAATATAAAACCAAGTCACTTTGAATTAAAGCCTTAACTCTTTATCACAAAGAAAAATTCCTTTAAATCTTTTACATTCAGTCTAAACTGGGCACAAGACAGTAATTTATTTAATTGACTGACTGCCTGATGGAGTAATTAAATCTATCATTGTAAGTCAATGTGAAGAATGGAATAGCATGAAATTAGGAATCAAATATACTTACCAGTTTTCTTGGCTTCATGCAAATAACCTACATTTCTGGATCTCAGTTAAATGATAATAACTGGATCCACAAATGTTTATAACTACTTCCAACCCTTAAAAAAATCTTCAAAAAGTTAAAAAGGAACATGACTCTTCAGTAATACCAACCAATTGACCAATCAACATAAATCTCTGGATGTGTTCATTTCTTTATTCTCTCTACAAGCTCTAATTTCGAATGGAGCACCATGTTTCATGCTAATTGCCAGGTTTACATTAATGCAAGAGATACATTTCCTGACCAGATAGATATCTAAACTGATAAATATTATGTTTAAGTTCAGAATATTCTTATTCTCCATTCCCAAGGAGACAGAAGTGTTTTCTTATTTGCTCAGAACTGTGTGATAGATGTTAATCACATCTACACTGTAGACCATCAGTCGGTCCACAATATAGTTTATAAATTGTGTGTCCAATGACCAGATGTTTTTAGTGACAGAATTAGCACATGAGATTAGGTCTCCTCATTCCAATAGTTAGTTGTGCCTTATGTAATTTTGCACATCTCTATTTCAGTGCATTTTATAACTGGCTTGTAAGCCTGATTTCTTCCTCATTTATTAATCACCATTCCTTCTGTCTCTCTTTTTAAAAAAATATTAGTATGGGCTTCCAGATTATGGTAAAATTTTATGTTGATATTCCATTTGACTATCTCAACAATTGTAGAATTAGGAGAACTAATATTATCATATTTCCTGAAAAAGAAAACTGAGAAATAAATAGTTTAACTTGCTCAAAGTAATGCAATCTTATTCTTTGTAAAGCAGGGACTCGAGGCCTTCTTGTGCTTTTTCTTTATGTCACATGATAAGTAAACACATTCTACACAAGTTGGGAATCCCTAATCCAAAAATCCAAAGTCTAAAATGCTTCCAAATCCAAAACTATTTGAGAACCAACATGATGCTACAAATGGAAAATTCCACACATAAGTATGTAGCACATACTTTGTTTCATGTGCAAAAATTATTTAAAATATTATGTAAAATTACTTAGGCTATGGATATAACGTGTATATAAAACATAAATGAATTTTGTGTTTAAATTTGGGTTTCATCCCCAATATATCTCATAAACATGCAAATATTCAAAAATTCTAAAAAATCCAAAATCCAAAACACTTCTGTTCCCAAATATTTTAGATGAGGAATACTCAACATATATAGCCTCTGGATGTGTGAAACAGATAAAAGAAATAGTCAAAATATTAGAGCCAAATCCCTGATTAAACCAAAGGAGAAAGGGGTACCTCGATGCATTTTTCTAGTTACCTCTGCCCCTGTAACTTTGTGCAGACAATAGATTTGATCCAGAGACTTACCTTTCTCCCTGAGAAATACAAAATTCAGGTCCAGCACTTTCATATATAAGTGAATGTCACATCAGAAATTAAGTCCTTTAAAGAAGGAAAACAACTTTTTGGAGACTGTTCTTTAGCGTTTGGCCAAAAGGCTTAAAGTTCTTTAGAGGCAGGGGGAAATTGAAAGAAAAATGCTATTGGCTTTGGAATCAGCTAGCAAGAGCTCTACTCCTGTATTTACTGCCCCTTCTTTGTAGATAAGTCTCTTAACCCATTTGAATATCAATAGCTGAATCTATAAAAAAGAAAATATTAAAAGATAGCCCTAACAACATCCAGCCTGAAAACTGCTGCTATGGTAAGAAAAGAATAGGAAACCTACAATTTCTTATACTTGGTAAGAGGTGATAATCATAACCTCAATTAATATAATAATTACTGGTTTTTTTCCTAAACATTGTTGTAGGCTCTTTGCTATGTATCAGTTTTGGAGAAGGCCATAGTTACTACTAGATGACTATTGACAATCAGACGAATAAATAAATGGTCAAAGTGACTCTGGTTCTGGGGCTGCTCCCTCTAATATGAAGCCAAATGGAATCATATAGGTACTTGATCAGTTGAAAAGTGGGAACCAGGAGGTAATTGTATGGTCATGGAGCTCTCAGGCGACACATACTCTATGAGGTCTACAAAACACTTTATCTCACATAACTGGAAATCAGGTGATTAAAGTATCTATGGGGATTCAGCTCTGCTTGTTGTGGGAGATCATGAGTGTATTTATGTTACTTTCAGTTATTCTCTTGGGTAATGCACAAATTAAGCCACAGCATGTCCTTCAAGACTGTTATTTGACATAAATACTAAGAGACAGAGACATACATTTTATCATTAAATAAGGGATGTGGACTTCAGGGATTAGTACTTCTTTTAATTCACCTTAAATGTTTGAACCATTGAGAAGAAATATTAATTCATCAACTGTTTATTGATTGCAAATGGATTTTAGCCATAGTAATGAGAGCTGAGAACATAGACCCATTCAAAATAAACATCATTCTTGTGCCCATGGTGTTTAAATCTAATGGAGAAGATAGACAGTAAGCAAATAAACCCCGTAAGAAACATGCGTAAATATGCATATTTACACATATAAATACATATGTACATATATATAATTATGTGTGGAATAAGCATGTAACTATACATAAAAATGAGATAAAAAATAAGTCTACTTTATATTGTTTGGTCAGAATGTTTTCTCTGGAAAATTAAGATTTCAGCCAAGTTTGGCCAGGCGCGGTGGCTCAAGCCTGTTATCCCAGCACTTTGGGAGGCCGAGGCAGGCGGATCACGAGGTCAGGAGATCAAGACCATCCTGGCTAACACGGTGAAACCCCGTCTATACTAAAAAATACAAAAAAATAGCCGGGCGTGGTAGCGGGCGCCTGTAGTCCCAGCTACTCGGGAGGCTGAGGCAGGAGAATGGCGTGAACCCGGGAGACGGAGCTTGCAGCGATCCGAGATCGCACCACTGCACTCCAGCCTGGGGGACAGGGGGATAGAGCGAGACTCCGTCTCAAAAAAAAAAAAAAGATTTCAGCCAAGTTTAAAAATGACAAAGAACTAGTATGGAAAAGATCATTCCAAACAAAATGAAATGTATGTAGTAAAGGACCCAAGTTTCAAAACAGTTAACAAAATCTAAAAGAAGCCAGTATGTTTTCTTCATAACTAGACCTCTTCCTTGTCAATTTCTATTTCAGCATCCTCCACCAAAGAAACCTTGACAAACAAAACAAACAGAGTGACACATAAACAAGATGGCAGAATAGGAGATACAATCCTCTTCCCCTCACACAAAAAATCAACCGATAATTATCCATGAATGATAATAGCCTTAGTAGGACTCAAGGGACCATTTAAAAACCTGTAGCAACATAGTGAAATAAAAAATGTGGGAGGGGAATAACCACATAGAAAAGACTGTTGGAGATATGTATTAACCGACATGTCTAGAGATGTCTAGGAACAAAGAAAAGCAAGTTCTAGCATTATCAACCATGTTATGAATGCCACCATTGTTCCCAGCAACCTGCTCTACAGAGAACACTGCCATCTTTCACTACCAAGATAATCAACAGCCATCCCCACCGTGGAGCCCCCAGAAAAGGAAACACTGCTGGACCAATGCTCCCAGAAGGGGCAACTGCTTTGTTGCCCCATGGCCAAAGCCACCATTCCTTCCAATTTTGCACATGCCTCAAACACTGGAGCCACTACTGTTATAGGTTAGCCACACCCCACACCTTAGAGCCCCAGTTGCTGTGTGTGCATACTCACTTCATGCACCAACTCCACTACAATATTGAGCAGCTTGAGGCCCAGAGCCCAGAGTCACGGTAGCTCTGAGCAAACCTACACTCTGGACCCTAGAGCCACTGTATCTCTGCACATGCCTGGACTTTGGCCCCCAGCTTCTCAGCTGCTTTACAAGCATCTGTGCCCCACACACAGTTATCAATGCAGCAGTGGGGCATCTACACCCAAGGCATTCATGTCATCGACACTTCAGACTCCAGAGTGATTATGCCTCTGTGCATGTCCATGCTTCAGATCTTGACTCCAGGACTGTTGCACAAGCACCATGCATCTGATATCAGTGTCACCACAACTACAGGTGTACCCACTGGACACTGTGCCAAAAGTGATCTCCTCAGCCATGATTTCCCTGTGGAATAAAAAGAGATTGAGAAAACCTCAGTGGCCTTCACCACTGAAGACCCCATTAGCTCTTACTGCTGCTATTGATACCCACAGTCTTGGCTTCTAAAATCCCTGCAATCTTCACCAATGCCAACCTAAGTTGACAGAGCAGCACAAAGACTATGCCACTGCACCCTTGCCAGAGCCCAAACCGCCAAATCTCTCCCAGTCAGTGCCATAGCACTCTCCCTTAAGGGAAAGCCTTTTCCCAGTGAAACCAGCACATAAAGTCAGGAAGAGGTGACTGTTCTACCAAATGTGCAGACATCAATGAAGGATAACAGGATATATGAAAAAACAAGGAAATATGTTACCACCAAAAGAATAATATCAGCCAGGCATAGTGGCTCTTGCCTGTAATCCCAGCCCTTTGGGAGGCCAAGGCAGGAGAAATGTTTGAGTTCAGGAGGTGAAGACCAGCCTGGGCAACAGAGCAAGACCCTGTCTCTACTAAAGATAAAGAAATTAGGTGGGCATAGTGGCATATATCTGTAGTCCCAGATACCAGGGAGCCTAAGGCAGGAAAATCACTTGAGCCCAGGAGTTTGAGACTGCAGTGAGCCATGATTGTGTCACTGCACTCCAGCCTTGGGGACAGAGCAAAACCTTGTCTCAAATAATAGTAGTAATAATAATTTCCAGTAACAAGCCCCAAAGAAATGGAGATCTACAAACTGCCTGACAAAGAATTCAAAATAGTTGTCTTAAGGAGGCTCAGCAAACTAAAAGAGAACACAGAGAGACAACAAATTGAAACCAGTAAAACAATATATGAGCAAAACAAGAAGTTTAACAAAGAGATTAAGAATTTAAAAACTCCATAAAGCCTGGAGTGGAAGAATACAATGCATAAAATACCAAATGCAGGTCATCAGCAGAATTGATCAAACAGAAGAAAGAATTTGTAAACTTGAAGATAGATTATTTGAAAAAATAAAATCAGAGAAGAAAAAAGTAAAAAGGATAAAAAGAAATGAAGAAAGCCTATGGAGATCATCATGGCAGAGGGGAGGCAGGACTAGATTATAATTCTGGACAGAGCAGTGTGTGGAGGCTCACATTCTGAATTTAAGCTCCAGATCAACTTTAAGAACAAACCATCAATCTCGAGAGTACCCACAGACCCTCTGAAAGAAGTGGACTGCTCCAGCAGGACCTGGGACACACTCCAAACACCGTGACTGCCCCAACTGCAGAAGTGGGAAAGGGAGACCTCCTGTCCCGAACACACACCCCCCACTAGAGAAATTGAAGGTCTGTTTGTGGGAGAAAGTTCTGACCTTACCTGGAGCTGAGTCAATTTAGAGAGCTGAGTGAAATACAGGGGTAAAAGAAGGATCAGAAAAGTCCTAGGAGCTCGCTAGGCCCCCAAACAGCCCATTCCTGCTTGACACCACAGGGATCCTTGGAAGGGTGGCCAGAAGAGCAGGGGGTAAAACTACACAGGGAGAAGGAAATCTTTAGCTGAGCTCTGTAACAATTTGAACAGGGCAAGAAGCCTCCTGGCCAGAACTTTGGGGAGGGCGCAAATCTGGTGTGCAGATTCCACAGGCAGGGGAACAACCAAACACCTTTCTTTCGAAGATGGGAGGCAGGTAGCCTGGGGCGAGTTTTCAAGCCCGTTTCCCCCACCACCTAAAAATAGACTCAGGGCTGCTGGGGTGGGGCATGGTGGGAGTGAGACTGGTCTTTCAGTTTGTGTGGGAGCTGGGTGAGGCCTGTGACTGCCGGCTTTCCCTGACTTCCCTAACAACTTGCATGACTCAGCAAAGGCTGCCATAATCCTCCTAGGTACACAATTCCAATAAGCTGAGATATCTCACCCCCATCCCCTACAGAAGCCACAGCAAGACCCGCCCAAGGAGAGTCTGAGCTCAGATACCCCTAGCCCTGCCCCACCTGATGGTTTTTCCCTACCCACTGTGGTAGCTGAAGGGCATATAATCTTGGGAGTTCTAGGGGCCCACCTACCACTAGTTCTTCTCCATACTACCACAACTGATGCTCTCTGGAAAGTGTCACCTCCTGGCAGAAGGCCAAAAAGCACAAAAATAGAGCATTAAACTACTAAAGCTAAGAATCCTCACAGAGTCCATTTCACCGCCCCGCCACCCCCACCCCAGCCCCCAGCTACTTGCACTGGAAGGTGCTGGTATCCTTGGCTGAGAGATCCATAGATGGTTCACATCACAGGACCCTGTGCAGACAACCCCCAGTAGCAGCCCAGAGCCAGGTAGACTAACTGGTTGGCTAGACCTAGAAGAAAGACAACAATCACAGCAGCTCAGCTCACAGGAAACCACATCCATAGGAAAAGAGGGAGAATACTATATCAAGGGAACAACCCATGGGACAAAAGAATCTGAACAACAGCCTTGAGCCCTAGACCTTCCCTCTGACAGAAACTACCCAAATGAGAAGGAACCAGGAAACCAGCCCTGATAATATGCTCCAAAAATCCAAACAAAATACTCCCAAAAAATCACACTAATTCACCAATAATAGATTCAAATGAAGAAGAAATCCTTGATTACCTGAAAAAAAATTCAGGAGGTTAGTTATTAAGGTAATCAAGGAGGCACCAGAGAAAGGCGAAGCCCAATGCAAGGAAATCCAAAAAACGATACAAGAAGTGAAGGGAGAAATACACAAGGAAGTAGATAGCTTAAAGAAAAAACAATCAAATTTCAGGAAACATTGGATACATTTTTTAGAAATGTGAAATGCTCTGGAAAGTCTCAGCAATAGAATTGAACAAGTAGAAGAAAGATCCAGAGCTCAAAGACAAGGTCTTTGAATTAACCCAATCCAACAAAGACAAAAAAAAAAGAGTGAGAAAATATAAATAAAGCATCCAAGAAGTCTGAGATTATGTTAAACGACCAAACATAAGAATAATTGGTGTTCATTAGGAGGAAGAGAATTCTAAAAGCTTGGAAAACATATTTGGGGGAATAATTGAGGAAAAATTCCCTGGCCTTGCTAGAGACCTAGACATCCAAATACAAGAAACACAGAGAACACCTGGGAAATTCATCTCAAAAAGATCATCAGCTAGGTACATTGTCATCAGGTTATCCAAAGTTAAGATGAAGGAAAGAATCTGAAGAGCTGTGAGACAGAAACATCAGGTAACGTATAAAGGAAAACCCATCAGATTAACAGCAAATTTCTCAGCAGAAACCCTACAAGCTAGAAGGGATTGGGGCCCTGTCTTCAGCCTCCTCAAACACAATTATCAGCCAAGAATTTTGTATCCAGTGAAACTAAGCATCATATATGAAGGAAAGATACAGTCTTTTTCAAACAAATGATGAGAGAATTCACTATTACCAAACCACCACTAAAAGAACCGCCAAAAGGAGATCTAAATCTTGAAACAAATCCTGGAAACACATGAAAATAGCATAAATCACACAGAACCTATAAAACAAAAATACAAGTGAAAAAGCAAAAACAAAAAACAAAGCACACAGGCAACAAAGAGCACGATTAATGCAATGATACCTCACATTTCAATACTAACATTGAACAGAACCACAGAATGGATAAGAACTCCCTGATCAACTATCTGCTGCCTTCAGGAGACCAAGCTAACACATAAGGACTCACATAAACTTACATAACTCACATAAACTTAAAGTAAAGGGGTGGAAAAAGGCATTTCATGCAAATGGACACCAAAAGAATCAATATTGTGAAAATGACCATTCTGCCAAAAAAATCTACAAATTCAATGCAATCCCATAAAAATACCACCATCATTCTTCACAGAATTAGAAAAAAAAAATTCTAAAATTCATATGGATCCAAAACAGTGCCTGCATAACCAAAGCAAGACTAAGCAAAAAGAACAAATCTGGAGGCATACCTGATTTCAAACTATACTATAAGGCCATAGTCAAAAAACAGCATGGTACTGGTATAAAAACAGGCACATAGACCAATGGAACAGAATAGAGAACCCAGAAATAAACCCAAATACTTACAGCCAACTAATTTTCAACAAAGCAAACAAAAACATAAAGTGGGGAAAGGACACTCTTTTCAACAAGTGGTGTTGGGATAACTGGCTAGCCACATGTATGAGAATGAAACTGGATCCTCATCTCTCACCTTATACAAAATTCAACTCAAGATGGATTAAAGACTTAAGCCTAATACCTGAAACTTTTTACTTAGGAATATACCTAACCAAGGAGGTGAAAGACCTCTACAAGGAAAACTACAAATCACTGCCGAAGGAAATTATAGACAACACAAACAAATGAAAACACATCCCACACTCATGGATAGGAAGAATCATATTGTGAAAATGATCATACTGCCAAAAGCAATCTAAAATCAATGCAATTTCCAATAAAATACCACCACCATTCTTCACAGAATTAGGAAAAGCAATTCTAAAATTCATATGGAACCAAAAAAGAGCCTGCATAACCAAAGCAAGACTAAGCAAAAAGAACAAATCTGGAGACATCACATTACCTGATTTCAAACTATACTGTAAGACCATAGTCACCAAAACAGCATGGTACTGGCATAAAAATAAGCACATTGACCACCTTATACAAAAATCAGCCCAAGATGGATTAAGAATTTAAATCTAAGACCTGAAACTATAAAAATTCTAGAAGATAACATTGGAAAAACCCTCCTGGACATTGGCTTAGGCAAGGATTTCATGGCCAAGAACCCAAAAGCGAATGCAGTAAAAACAAAGATAAATAGCTGGGAACTAATTAAAGAGCTTTTGCCTGGCAAAAGGAATAGTAAGCAGAGTAAACAGACAACCCACAGAGCGGGAGAAAATCTTCACAATCTATACATCTGACAAACGACTAACATCTAGAATCTACAACAAATTCAAACAAATCAGTAAGAAAAAAACAAACAATCCCATGAAAAAGCGGGCTAAGGAAGTAAATAGACAATTCTCAAAAATAGATATACAAATGGCCAACAGATGAAAACATGCTCAACATCAATAATAATCAGAGAAATGCAAATCAAAACCACAATGCGACTCCACCTTACTCCTGCGAGAATGGCAATAATCAAAAATAAAGAAACAGTAGGTGTTAATGTGGATGTGGTTTGGTGATCAGGGAACACTTCTACACTGCTGGTGTGAATGTAAACTAGTACAGCCACTATGGAAAACTGTGTGGAGATTCCTTAAAGAACTAAAAGTAGAATTACCATTTGATTTAGCAATCCCACTACTGGGTATCTACCCAGAGGAAAAGGAGTCATCATTCAAAAAAGATACTTGCACACGCACGTTTATTACAGCACAATTCACAATTGCAAAATTGTGAAACCAACCCAAATGTGACTGAGTTTGAGACCAGATTGGGCAACATAGCAAGACCCCTTCTGTACACCAATCAACAAGTGGATGAAGTAACTGTAGTATAATCCCAGCACTTTGGGAGGCTGAGAAGGGAGGATCACCTAAGGTCAGGAGTTCAAAACAAGCCTGGCCAACATGGTGAAACCCCATCTTTACTAAAAATGCAAAAATTAGCCAGATGTGCTGCCTGTAATCCCAGCTACTCAGGAGGCTGAGGCCAGAGAATCACTTAAAGCTGGGAGGCAGAGGTTGCAGTGAACTGATATTGCACCATTACACTCCAGCCTGGGCAACAAGAGTGGAATACCCTCTGAAAAAAAAAGAAAAAGAAACTGTAGTATATACATATATATATGCAATGGAATACTACCAAACCATAAAAAGGAATGCATGAAAAGCATTTGCAGAGACTTGGATGAGATTGGAGACTATTATTCTAAGTGAAGTAACTCAGGAATGGAAAACCAAACATTGTATGTTCTCACTGATATATGGGAGCTAAGCTATGAGCACATAAAGGTGTAAGAAGCCATCCCATTACTGGGTATATACCCAAAGGCTTATAAAACATGCTGCTATAAAGACACATGCATACGTATGTTTATTGTGGCACTATTCACAATAGCAAAGACTTGGAACCAACCCAAATGTCCAACAATGATAGATTGGATTAAGAAAATGTGGCACATATACACCACGGAATACTATGCAGCCATAAAAAATGATGAGTTCATGTCCTTTGTAGGGACATGGATGAAGCTGGAAACCATCATTCTCAGCAAACGATCACAAGGACAAAAAACCAAACACTGCATGTTCTCACTCATAGGTGGGAATTGAACAATAAGAATGCTTGGACACAGTCAGGGGAACATCACACACCGGGGCCTGTTGTGGGGTGGGGGGAGTGGGGAGGGATAGCATTAGGAGATTTACCTAATGTTAAATGACGAGTTAATGGGTGCAGCACACCAACATGGCACATGTATACATATGTAACAAACCTGTACATTGTGCACATGTACCCTAAAACTTAAAGTATATATTAAAAAAAAAAGGTAGATACTAGTATGAGTTCCGTTTTATAGATATGGAAATAGAGGCTTCTGTGAGTAATATAACTTGCCTAAGGTGCTTAGCCTGGAAGACACATAATAAAGACAACAATAATAATAATAGCTATGCTTTATTCTACACTAACTGTGTGCCATAGACATGCTAAATATTTTACTTGTATTAAATCATGGGCTTCTCATTTTTTCAACTGAGGAAACTGTGTCTGAGAAAGATGAAATAACTTGCTGTGGCTATTCAATCATTATAGAACAGAGCAGAAATATAACTCCAGGTCTCTCTGAGTCACAGCTTTTGAGGTTAACCACGGCAATTTTACCATATAGCAGCCCCTTAATACATTTTGTTAAATCAAATTGATGCTCTAGAGAATTTTTCATTCAAACACATTAGATTTCTTCTGGAAAACATAGGTTTTACATCCTATGCACAGTGGATTTGATTTGCTTTGTAGTTTTTTCATGGAGAAGGACCTAAAAGAGAGAACAGAGAGGAAGACTCGAGGGTTGTAGTACCCAACCTCAGTCATGCAGCCCTTATAATGAAGGCCAGCTTGCATCTCCTTGATGTGGGAACCAGAATCCACAACATCCCTTGCAGGCTCTCGAGCTGCTACACTCCATAGCCACATTTATGAAGATGGATGAAAAGCACCTCTTTTACAGGCTTCACTGCCTAAGCAGTGGTAGTAATATAAACACCCAGTAAGAGGGGGTTGATTAAGTATGATCTGTCAACTTGATGCACCATCACGACTCTAGGAAAACAGTAATTATAAAGACTAGGGAGAAACATGCAAGAATGCTTCAAATGTTTACCGTATGATGTTAACTAAAAAAAGTACAGTGTAATGTGATTGCACCTATTTAAACTATAAATATATATGAAAATGTAAACCAAAAGTAAATAAAACAGAAATTAAACATTTGCATTAAGATGAAAAAAAAAAGAATGATACAATCAACTTTGGGGACTTGTGGGGAAGAGTGGGAGAGAAGCAAGGGATAAAAGGCTAAAAATACGGTGCAGCGTATACTGCTCGTTGATGGGTGCACCAAAATCTCACAAATCACCACTAAAGAACTTACTCATGGTAACCAAATGCCACCTGTACCCCTATAACTTATGGAAAACAAATAAATAAATAAATACACAAGCCTATGAAATTTATGAGACAGCATCAAGATAGTTAACTTTAGCATTAAAAACCTTAATGAATAAGAAGAAAGGGAAAGGGAACAGAAACCTAAAGTTAAAATGGCAGAAAACTTATCAAATCTAGGGAAAGATATAAATATCCAAGCATAGAAAAGCCAATGGTCTTCAATTAGATTCAACCCAAAGAAAACCACAAGAAGACATACTATAAGCAAATAGTCAAAAAATAAAGAAAAGAGAACTTTGAAAGCAGCAAAGAAAAAAATATATATACTCACATGGAAGGGAACCCCCCCAAAAGCTATCAGTGTATTTATCAGAATAAACTGCAGGCTAGGAGAGAGCAGATAATATATTCAAAGTAGTGAAAGAACAAAAACCTGCCAATGAAGAATATTCTGCCTGGCAAAGTTGTCCTTTAGAAATGAAGGAGATAACTTTCCCAAACAAACAAAAATTAAGGGAGTTCATAAATACTAGACCTGTCTTACATAAAATGATAAAGGGAGTTCTTCAAGCTGAAATAAAAGGATCCTAATTAGTAGCATAAAAGCATATGAAAGTAAAAACTCATGGTAAAAGTAAGTACAACATCATATTGTAATGATGATGTGGACATCAATTATATCTCTAGTATAAAAGTTAAGACACAAAACTATATCAATAACTATAGCTACGATAATTTATAAAAAGATACACAATATAAAAAGAAATAAATTATGACATAAACCTAAAATGTGGAGGGGGGGGGATAAAAGTGTAGTATTTTTTTTTTTTTTTTTTTTTTTTTTTGAGACGGAGTCTCGCTCTGTCACCCAGGCCGGACTGCGGACTGCAGTGGCGCA
Source organism: Homo sapiens (assembly GCF_000001405.40). Taxonomy (NCBI): domain Eukaryota; kingdom Metazoa; phylum Chordata; class Mammalia; order Primates; family Hominidae; genus Homo; species Homo sapiens. Next base: position 58,453,227 of record NC_000011.10, read on the forward strand.
ATCTCGGCTCACTGCAAGCTCCGCTTCCCGGGTTCACGCCATTCTCCTGCCTCAGCCTCCCGAGTAGCTGGGACTACAGGCGCCCGCCACCGCGCCCGGCTAATTTTTTGTATTTTTAGTAGAGACGGGGTTTCACCTTGTTAGCCAGGATGGTCTCGATCTCCTGACCTCATGATCCACCCGCCTCGGCCTCCCAAAGTGCTGGGATTACAGGCGTGAGCCACCGCGCCCGGCCAAAAGTGTAGTATTTTTATATGCAATCAAAGTTAAGTTGTTATCTGCTTAAAATAAACTGATATCATTGTTGGACATTTGGGTTGGTTCCAAGTCTTTGCTATTGTGAATAGTGCCGCAATAAACATACGTGTGCATGTGTCTTTATAGCAGCATGATTTATAGTCCTTCGGGTATATACCCAGTAATGGGATGGCTGGGTCAAATGGTATTTCAAGTTCTAGATCCCTGAGGAATTGCCACACTGACTTCCACAATGGTTGAACTAGTTTACAGTCCCACCAACAGTGTAAAAGTGTTCCTATTTCTCCACATCCTCTCCAGCACCTGTTGTTTCCTGACTTTTTAATGATTGCCATTCTAAATGGTGTGAGATGGTATCTCATTGTGGTTTTGATTTGCATTTCTCTGATGGCCAGTGATGGTGAGCATTTTTTCACGTGTTATCTGGCTGCATAAATGTCTTCTTTTGAGAAGTGTCTGTTCATATCCTTTGCCCACTTTTTGATGGGGTTGTTGGTTTTTTCTTGTAAATTTGTTTGAGTTCATTGTAGATTCTGGATATTAGCCCTTTGTCAGATGAGTAGGTTGTGAAAATTTTCTCCCATTTTGTAGGTTGCCTGTTCACTCTGATGGTAGTTTCTTTTGCTGTGCAGAAGCTCTTTAGTTTAATTAGATCCCATTTATCAATTTTGGCTTTTGTTGCCATTGCTTTTGGTGTTTTAGACATGAAGTCCTTGCCCATGTCTATGTCTTGAATGGTAATGCCTAGGTTTTCTTCTAGGGTTTTTATGGTTTTAGGTCTAACGTTTAAGTCTTGAATCCATCTTGAATTAATTTTTGTATAAGGTGTAAGGAAGGGATCCAGTTTTGGCTTTCTACATATGGCTAGCCAGTTTTCCCAGCACCATTTATTAAATAGGGAATCATTTCCCCATTGCTTGTTTTGGGGACTGTTGTGGGGTGGGGGGAGGGGGGAGGGATAGCATTAGGAGATATACCTAATGCTAAATGACGAGTTAATGGGTGCAGCACACCAGCATGGCACATGTATACATATGTAACTAACCTGCACATTGTGCACATGTACCCTAAAACTTAAAGTATAATAATAATAAAATTAAAACAATAAACTGATATAACTATAAAGTATTTTCAGTAAGCCTCATGGTAATCAAAATCAAACATCTATCATGAATATACAAAACATGAAAAGAAATCAAAGCATACCACTACAGAAAATCAACAAATTGTAAAGAAAAATGGCAATGGAGGAATAAAGGGATCTACAAAACAGCCAGAACATAATTAGCAAAATGACAATAGTAAGTTCTTACTTATTAATAACCATTTTAAATGTAAATAAGTTCTTCTATCAAAGAATTACTAAATGGATAAAAAACAAAAAGACCCAACTAAATGCTGCCAACAGAAACTCACTTAAGCTTTAAGGACATATATAAATTAAGAGCGAAGGGATGAAAAAAGATTTTCCATGCAAATGGAAACCATAAGAGAGAAGAAGTAGCTATACTTATATCACACAAAATAGACTTTAAGTCAAAAACTACAAAAAGGAATGAAGAAGGTTATTATAAAATGATAAAGGGAACAATCCATCAAGAGGCTACTACAATTATAAACATACATGCACCCAACATCAGAACACCGTAATACGTGAAGCAAATAATAGGTGTTTAGGGAAAAACATACAGCAATTGATAATACAACGGACTTCAATACCTCACTTTCAACAATGCATAGATCATTCAGGAATAAAATCAATAAGAAAACATTGGATTGAATTAGGGTTTAGAGTGAATAAAACTAACAGACCTAAAAGGTAATTTCATCCCTGCAGACCTACAGAGCATTTCATCCCACAGCAGCATATGTGGAACATTCTCTATAACAGATTATATATTGAGCCAAAAAACGAGTCTTAAAAATTTAAGAGGATTGCAGTTTTATCAAGTGTCTTTTCCAACTGCAATGGTAATTAGAAAACAATAGGAGAAATTTCAGAAAACTGACAAGTATGTAAAAATCAAGAACACATGCTTGAACAACCAATGGGTCAAACATGAAATCCAAGGGAAATTTTAAAATATCTTGACACAAACAAAAATGAACACACAACATACCAAACATATAGGATGGATGAAAAACCGCTATAAGAGGAAAGTTTTAGTGATAAATGCCACCCATGAAGAAAAGAGAAATATATGAAATAAACAACCTAAGTATACACTTTAGTAAACTAGAAAAAAAAATGAAAGTAAATACAAAGCTAGTAGAAATAAGGAAATAACAAAAATCAAGTCAGACACAATGGTTCACACCTATAACCCCAGCACTTTGGAAGGCCAAGGCAGGAGAATCACTTGAGGCCAGGAGTTTGAGACCAGACTGGGCAACATAGCAAGACCCGTTCTGTATAAAAAATTTAAAAATTAGCCTGGTGTAATGGTGTGCACCTATTGTCTCAGCTACTAGGAAGGCTGAGGCAGGAGGGTCACTTGAGCCCAGGAGCTTGGAGCTGCAGTGAGCCATGATTGTATCACTGCACTCCACAAAGTAGAGACTCTGTCTCTAAAATAATAATAATGGTAATAACAACAAAGATCAGAGCGAAATTAAATAAAATGGGGACTAAAAGAACAATAGAAAAGAACAATAAAACTAAGAGTTAGCTTTTTGAAAAGATAAACAGTTGACGAAACTTTAAATAAAATAAAAATAATTTATAAATTATAAAAAATTATAAATGAAAGATGATACATTATAACTGATATCACAGAAATGAAAAGGATAATGAGATGACTATGAATGATTATACACTAACAAATTGAATAACCTAGAAGTAGTGGATAAATTACTGGAAATATATAATCTACAAAGACTCATTAAGAAGTAGAAAAGCTGAATAGATCAATAACAAGTACGGACATTGAATTCGTAATAAAACTCTACAGTCATATAAATGTCTAGCACCAGATAGCTTCACTGGTGAATTATATCAAACATTTAAAGAATAAATGCCAATTCTTCTCAAACTATTCCAAAAGATTGGAGAGGAGGGAACACTTTGAAAATCATTTTATGAAGCTATGATACCCTGATATCAAAGCCAGAGTAGGACATACAAGAAAAGAAAATTATAGGCCAATACCCCCAGATGATCAAAGATGCAAAAATCCTCAACAAAATACTAGCAAATCAATTAAACAGCACATCAAATGGTTCATATATGATAACAAAATATCGCTGGAACGCAAGCATGTTTCAATATACACAGATCAGTACATGTGACATCCCACATTAAGAAAAAGATTAACAGAATAAAAATTGTATGTTCATCTTGATGCAGAAAAAGCGTTTGACAAATTCAACATTTTTTATGATAAAAATTGTAAAAAATTGGGTATAGAAGGAAGGTACCTCAACATAATAAATGCCATATGTGACAAGCCCTCAGTTAATGCCATACTCAATGGTAAACGTTGAAACTTTTTCATCAAATATCAGAAACAAAAGTATATCCACTCACACAACTGCTATTCAATGTAGTATTGAAAGTCCTAGCCAGAGTAATTAGGCAACAACAACAACAAAAACCAAAAGGCATCGAAATCAGAAAGAAAGAAGTAAAGTTCGTGTTTGCAGACGTTGTGATCTTATACATAGAAAACCCTAGGCAGGGTGCGGTGGCTCATGCCTGTAATCCCAACACTTGGGAGGCTGAGGTGGGTAGATAACCTGAGATCAGGAGTTCGAGACCAGCCTGGCCAACATGGTGAAACCCCGTTTCAACTAAAAATACAAAAATTAGCCAGACGTTGTGGTCTGCACCTGTAATCCCAGCTACTCAGGAGGCTGATGCAGGAGAATCACTTGAACCCAGGATGCAGAGGTTGCAGTGAGCTGAGATCGCACCATTGCACTCCAGCCTAGGTGACAAGAGAGAAATACTGTCTCAAAAAACAAAACAAAACAAACCCTGAAGACTCTGTCAAGAAACTGTTAGAGGTAATAAAAAAAAAGTCAGTAAAGTTGCAGGATACAAAAGCAACATATAAAAATCAGTAGTGTTTCCTGTTGGTGGGAGTGTAAATTAGTTTAACCATTGTGGAAGACTGTGTGGCAATTCCTCAAGGATCTAGAACCAGAAATACCATTTGACCCAGCAATCCCCTTGCTGAGTATATACCCAAAGGATTATAAATCATTCTACTATAAAGAAACATGCACACGCATGTTCATTGCAGTGCTGTTCACAATAGCAAAGACTTGGAACCAACCCAAATAACCATCAATGATAGACTGGATAAAAAAAAAAACGTGGTACATATATACCATGGGATACTATGCAGTCATAAAAAAGGATGAGTTCATGTCCTTTGCAGGGACATGGATGAAGCTGGAAACCCTCATTCTCAGCAAACTAACACAGAAACAGAAAACCAAACACAGCATGTTCTCACTCGTAAGTGAGAGTTGAACAATGAGAATACATGGACACAGGGAGGGGAACACCACACAATGGGGCCTGTCGGGGGTGGGGGGTTAGGGGAGGGATAGCATTAGGAGAAATACCTAATGTAGTTGACGGGTTGACGGGTGCAACAAACCACCATGGCACGTGTATACCTCTGTAACAAACCTGCACGTTCTGCACACATATCCCCGAACTTAAAGTATAATTAAAAAAAAAAAAAAAGCTTTAAAACATATCTATTCAAAAATAAACAAAAGTGAAGACAACTAAAAACTAGGGAAAAAGTCAGTAATGTTTCAATACATGAACAATCAACTACCTAACAGAGAAAAAATTTAAATCTCAGTTACAATAGCATAAAAAAAAAAATATTCAGGAACAAATTTCACCAAAGAGGTAAAAGAAGATCTGTACACTGAAAACTGTAAGTCATTATAAAAGAAACTAAAGAAGAAAAAAAAAATGGAAAGATATCATCTGTTCATGGATTGGAAGAATTAATATTGTTAAAATGATCACACTACCCAAAGTGATCTACCGATTTAATAAATCTCTATGAAAATTTCAATGGCATTTTTCACAAAGATGGAAAAAGCAATTCTTAAACTTGTATAGTACCACAAAAGATCCTGAATAACCAAAACAATATTTAGAGAGGACTAAGCTGAAGACATCAGGCTTCATGATTTCAAACTATATTATAAATATACAGGAATCAAAACAGCCCAGTTCTGGAATAACAACATACATATATACCAGTGGAACAGAATATAACTCAGATATGACCCAGACTTATACAGTCAACTAATATTTGACAGAAACACCAAGAGTACACAATGGGGAAGTAATAGTCTCTTCAATAAATAATGTTGACAAGACTGTATAGCCACATGCAAAAGAATAAAATTGGACCCTTATCTTATCTTATGCCACTCGCCAAAAACACTGTCAAAACTAGTTACTTAAATATAACATATTAAAGCCTAAAAATCCTAAAATAAAACATAGGAGAAAAGCTCCTTGACTTTGGTTTTGGCAATAATTTTGTAGTATGACCTCAAAAGCACAAGCAACAGAAGCAAAAATAGGCAAATAGGATTCTGTCAAACTAAAACCTTTCTGCATAGTAAAGGAAAACAACAAAGTAAAGAGGCAACCTACATAATGGGAGAAAATATTTGCTAACTACTAATATGTGATCAAGAGTTAATAAAAATATATCAGAAACTCAAAACACTCAAGGACAAGGAAACAAATAGACTGATTAAGAAATGGGCGAACGACCTGAACAGATATTTTTTTTCCAGAAAACACATATGAATGGCCAACAGGTACATAAAAAGTGCTCAACATTACTAATCATCAAAAAAACACAAAACAAAACCACAATGATATATCACCCCACTCCTGTTAGAATGGCTATTACGAAAAACATAATAGATAACAACTGTTGATGAGGATGTGGAGAAAAAGAAACACTTTCACACTGTTGGTGGGAATGTAAATTAGTTCAGACATTATGGATAACAGTATGAAGAATTCTTTCCTCAACAAATTAAAAATAAAATTTCATACAATCTAGCAATCCCACTACGAGGTAGATCTCCAAAGGAAATAAAGTCACTATGTCAAACAGATAATTGCATTCCCATGTTTACTACAGCATCATCCACAGTAGCCAAGAAATGAAATCAACCTGTGTCCATCAATGGGTGAATGGATAAAGGAAATGTGATATATATATATATTAGAATACTAGATATATATATAATAAAATACTATTGAGATATTTTTTAAAACGAAGAAATTTTTTTCATTTGTGACAACATGGATAAACCAGGAGGACATCATGCTAAGTGAAATAAACTGGGTACAGAAAGAATACCGTATGATTTCACTTATATGTGCAATCTAAAAAAGTTGATCTCATAGAAGTAGACAGTAGAATGGTAGTTACTAAAAGTTGGGTGATATCGGGGGTGGGTGAATCCTTGGGGAGATGTTGGTCAGAGGATACAAAATTTCTGTTAGAAAGGAGGAATAGATTCATAAAACCTACAGTACAACATGATCCATATATTTAACAACAAGATATTGTGTTCTTGAAAAATATTAAAAGGGTAGATTCTAAATGTTCTCACCCTCAAAATGATAACTTTTTGAGGTAATGCATATGTTAATTAGCTAGCTTTAGCCATTCTAGAATGTATATATGTTTCAAAAAATTATGTTGTACACAATAAATATGTGTTATTTAGTCAATCAATTAAAAAATAAGTTAATATTTTCACTGAATACTCATAAGTGTACGAAATAAAAACTTTATTAAATCATCTAACGTTATGCTTAGGGAGAAATTCCTAGAAAAAAATAAAGACTGAAAATCGATTACTTCAGCATCCAGATCAAGAAGATAAAAAAGAAGAGAAAATTAAACCAATGGTAATAGAAGAAAATGATAATAAAAGTTAAATTGTATACTAATGAAATAATAAAAATCATATAACTTCTAAATACCAAAGCCAAAACTTGATATTTTAAAAATACTAATTAAGTGTATTAATCCCTAACAAAACTTATCAATAGAGAAGCGCAAATTACCAACATCTGGAATGAAAAAGGTATTATTAAAAATTTAACAAAATGTGGCACATATACACCATGGAATACTATGCAGCCATAAAAAACGATGAGTTCATGTCCTTTGTAGGGACATGGATGAAGCTGGAAACCATCATTCTCAGCAAACGATCGCAAGGACAAAAAACCAAACACTGCACGTTCTCACTCATAGGTGGGAATTGAACAATGAGAACACTTGGACACAGGAAGGGGAACATCACACACTGGGGCCTGTTGTGTGGTGGGGGGAGTGGGGAGGGATAGCATTAGGAGTTATACCTAATGTAAATGACGAATTAATGGGTGCAGCACACCAACATGGCACATGTATACATATGTAACAAACTTGCATGTTGTTCACATGTACCCTAGAACTTAAAGTATAATAAAAAAAAATTTAATGTGAGACTGTTATGAATTCCTTAAAGCCACTAAATTTTTTAATGTATATAAAATTTACAAATTCCTAGAAGAAAATTTACCAAAACTAACACAAGAATCAAGAAAAAGTTTAACGGTCTTCTATTTATTTAGAAAACTTAAATCTAAGTATAAAATTTATTTATTTATTTATTTATTTATTTTTGAGATGGAGTCTTGCTCTGTCTCCCAGGCTGGAGTGCAGTGGTGCGATCTCGGCTCACTGCAAGCTCCATGCCCAGGGTTCACGCCATTCTCCTGCCTCAGCCTCTTGAGTAGCTGGGACTACAGGTGCCCGCCACCACGCCAGGCCAATTTTTTTGTATTTTTAGTAGCGACGGGGTTTCACCGTGTTAGCCAGGATGGTCTCAATCTCCTGACCTCGTGATCTGTCTGCCTCAGCCTCCCAAAGTGCTGGGATTACAAACATGAGCCACCGCACCTGGCCTAAGTATAAAATTTTTTTAAACCTTCTCTCTAAGATAAAAAGATACCTCAAGGCACATATATTTTCAATGATGAAACCTAGTCATTTCATTTAAAAATAATACCAATATTACCAAGGCCTGGCAAAAAATAGAAAAAAGAAAACTTCCCAAATTATTTTTTAGGTCATCATAGTGTTTATATTCTGAGATAATTTAAAGAGAAAATATTAACATTAATAAATGAATTTAACAAGGCCAGTAGTTACAGGATCAATATACTAATGTAATTATATTTCTATATACTAACAAAAAATAGAAAATAAAATAAATAAATAGCACCTCACACTAGCATCAAAATGACCAAGTATATAAAAATAAATCTCAAAAATGTAGTTGTACAAGACTTCTGCACAAAAAAGCTACAAAACATTATTGAGAGAAAATAAAGAGGCTATAGTAGATGGAAGGATATACCATATTCATGGATCAAAAGACCTAATTTTGTGAATTTAAAAAGAAAAAGGCTTTTCTCCCAATATTAATCTACCAATGCAGTGCAATACAAATCCTAACAGGTATTTTACAAATTGATTCTAAAATTTATATGAAAATATAAAGAAAGAATACTCAAGATAACTTTGAAAAAATAAAGAAGGCTGAAAGACATACACAACCATGTATCAAAACTTTCTATAAAGCAAAAACATTATTGTGTATTGGCACAAGAACTATATAGACCAATTAAACAGAATGGAGAGTCTGGAAACAGAATCACTAATATGCAGTAACCCAATTAATGAAAAGTACATCTCCTAAAGACACCTCATCAGTTACAGTCCCCACTCTAAAATCCAGACAAAAAATGAGAGCTTTACTGCAGTGACTGTGGTTCTGAAAGTCAGCTAATCAAAAGTTTATCTCTGTAAAGTTTACAGTTACTGGTGTAAACTTAAAAAGTGTTCTTACACTTTTACAATTTAATGACAACTCAGTTCCAAACACTCTGACTTCAGAGAGCCTATTAAATTCTGGGTTCAAAAATTATTTTCAAGTGGGAGAGGTTACTCATTTTAAAATTTATTTTGGAATGTTGATCTGTTAGCTGGAGCAATAGCAACCATTTTAAACCATAGGATGAAAAACACACGTAGACCTGTAGGGCAGAGACCTGAAAAGAACTTCAGTCCTTAATTTTTGCTTGAAGATGCCATATATTCTGTCGCCGACTGGTGTACTTCAATCCTGGAGTTAGTGCAGATCCAATCTGGAGTTAGTGCAGATCCCACAAGTTAAGGGCTCAATCCTCCACAAGACTGCCCTCACTTCAGATGCCAGAGGCACTTCAGGTCACCCCAGATCACTCACACTTTTGACTGGCTATAAATTCAGGGGTTTCCACAACCCTTTAAAGTTTAATAATTCACTAGAATGATTCATGGAACTCAAGAAAGCACTGTGCTTACAATTACAGTTTTATTATAAAGAATATAGATCAGGACTAGCCAAAGGAAAAGATACAAAGTGTGAGGTCTGAGAAGGTTCCAAACAGAGCTTCTTCTCATGGCACACTCCAGCACATGAATGTGTTCACCAACCAGGGTGCTCCACTGAGCTTTGGCATCCTAAGTTTTTATTGAGGTTTTATGGTATAGGCATAATTGATTATATTTCAGCCACACAATTAAGCTCAATTTCCAGTCCCACTTCTCCCACTGGAGGCAGGCTGGCTCAAGGCCCCAACCTTCTAATCACATGGGTGGTCTTTCGGGTGATCAGCCCTCATCTTCAATTATCTCATTAGCATAAAGTGAAATGGATCCAAAGGGCTCATGAATAACAAAGACACTTTAATCATTTGGGAAAATCAAAGGATTTCAGATACTCCATGCCAGAAACCCAAGATAAAGACCAGACAGATCAGATTTTCTTCTATGTAAAAGAGAAATAATCTTCTATCTTACTTAAACCACTAGCATGTCCATTGCTGTTAACCAAAATCCAATCCTAGCTGAAAAACTGTATGCCAGTATTACTGAGCTAATGGAAACAGTATTAGAGGTGGAGTAGGATGACTTAGTTTGAAGACTTAGCTCCACTGCTAACTGCATAATTTCAAAAGTATTGCTTCATTTCAAAACATTATCAACACCTGAAATATGTTTTGAGACAGAATTTCAAAATCAAACATCTGAAAATCCAGTGGCAAAGGGAAGCAACTTATACTGTTGCAACCCACTGATGTATGGTACCACACATAAGTCAAAAAAAGGTGAAATGTAATGTGAAATGTAATAGTCCCGATCCTAAAGAAGCGGGGCACTAGAAACAAGATTCCTGTTTCTAGTACCTCAGAACTTATCTTTCAAAGTACCTCAGAACTTTACATTACTACTTATATTGGACTAGAAACACTGTCCAATATTCATTTAGACATGAAGAATGTTTACAATTAATCTAGAGTAGAAAAAGCGGGGCATGTATGGTCCCAGGATTTTGCACATACACTGGCAAGGGTGTGTGTGGGGGGTGTATGTGGCATGTGTCACTTTTCCACATACCAACTTTTCAGGAATGATCATTTTGCATCCCATATTTAATGCTACCACAGAGTTCTCCACAAATACTGAGCCTCTTGTGAATGCTGGCTCTTTTTGTTTCTCTGCCTTGTTCTGTAATATCATTGCTAATGCTCTATTCTTTGATTTGTTTCATGAGTGTTGTTATGCTTCATGACTTAATAGACATTATATATATATATATATTCCCTTTATATATATATATCCCTATATATATATATCTCCATATATATATACACCTATATATATATATCCCTATATATATATATATCCATATATATATATATATTCCCTTTAGGTATCACATATTTGGTAATATAAAACAATTGTTTCCTAATTGTAAAAAAATGACTGGATGACTTCTGCCTTGCCTTAAGGTATGCTAAGTAAATCCAACACTTTCGTTGTTGTTTTTTTGTTTTGTTTTGTGTTGTTTTTGTTTTTGTTTTAGACAGAATCTTGC